>NC_000007.14:151579591-151731107 GCF_000001405.40 Homo sapiens | reverse complement strand
AATGACTGTAGTAGCGCTTTCACCCTCTGCAATTACAGGGCAGTAATTAAATAAAAACCATTTAGCGTCTTAAGGGCTCATTTCTGAGGCCAGCACTGGAGCCAGGAGTCCAAGCGGTGTGTCAGGAAGCTGGTGTTTCATCCTTGTGTGCCCAGGGTCCCAGTAAGACCGGAGACCACATCCTCTGAGGACGCTTGGCCCTTATACCCACCTCCCCTTCCATGAGCCCACACCGCATGACTACGCAACGGCTTCTTGCCCAGAACGCCAGCATCCTTCCTGGCCCATGAACATTCAGGTCACCCCAATACTGCGTGCCATGGCTCTCCTGCCCTTGGCTGAGTATGGCCCTGTGGGGACCATCTTGTGCTCTTCACTTCAGCAGAGGGATAGGGCTGAGAAGTCAAGCCTGTGGTCTCTCCCGCCCCCATCCAGCCCCCCTGCTCCTCCTCACCCCTCATAGTCCTCACACTGCCTCTGGCGCCCATCTGCTGGCCTGGCTGCTGGTATCACTATTGGTTTTGCCCTGAAATTTCCCAATATATATGTTTGCCTTTTTCCAATAGAAATTTTCTTTTTATTTTACTTTTTAAATTTGTTTTTAAAAAGAGACGGGGTTTCCCTATGTTGCCCAGGGTGGTCTCGAACTCCTGGGCTCAAGCGATCCTCCACGTTGGCTTCCCAAAGTGCTAGGATGACAGATGTGAGCCACCACACCTGGCCAGAAATTTTCGAAAGAATACAGAAGTAGGGAGAACAGTATAACAGCATCTGTCTTCCAGGGTTAACAATGACAGGTTCTGTCATTCTCACCTGCATCCTCAGGGTCTTTGTGCTGGCCTCTGTTCCCACACTAGGGACAGCAGTGAGTGAGAGATGCATGCACCCTCGGGGCCACACGGCCTGGTGAGAGTGGGTAGATGAATGAGGGGATTTTAATTGTGGTCAGATGTACATAATACAAATTTACCATCTTCACCATTTCACGTATGCATTCCCATTATTGTGTAGGCATTACCACCTGCCATGTCCTCCATCACTCACAGCTGAAACTGTCTCTTCTAAGCCCTAACTCCCCACTCCCCTGACCCCAGCCCCTGGCAAACACCATTCTACTTTCTACGAATGTGATAACTCCAGGGACCTCCTAGAAATAGAATCACGTAGTGTTTGTCCTTTTGCGTCTGCCTTGTTTCGATGGCAAACGTATTTTCATCACCAGGTCAGGTGGTGGTGATGCCGTGGAGGCAGGGCGAGGGGTCGGTTCAGTGGGTGATGGGGAGAGGGCTGTGTGGATGCCTGTGCTCAGACCCTTCCGAGAGCTGGAGAGGCCAGGCCCCAGAAGGGAGCCTGCGGTGTGTTCTAGGGACTCCGAGAGGCCTGCGGGGCTGGACGGCAGCAGGCAGAGCCACAGGAGCCGGTCTCTGGCAGGTAGGAGATGAGGCTGAGGCTGGGCACAGCAGCCAGTGTATGCCCCTCTTGTGGACCGTGGGAGGGCTCTGGATCACACCTGCTTGAGATGAAGGCCCTCGGGGGTCTTGAGCACCGATGGGCTAAGGACTGGCCTGCCCAAGTGGAGTGCGGACAGAGCTGGGGCTGAGCCCACTATTAAGAGCCTATTATGTGCCAGACAGCTGGGGCTGAGGCTGTCCCTCCCCCAACCCCTCTGGCTCCAAGGCCCTCCCCGGCCCCCACCCACCTCTCCTTTTGCCAGTTCCCACCCAAAACCGTCCAGCCCTGGTGCCCATTGTTCTGCTGGATGTGTCCAAACAGAAGACTCCTAGGGGTGCGGCATCCTTGTTTGTGAGGATGGGTCTTTGGGGGGTTTCGGACACTGTAGCCAGTGAGTAGAAGCATTTGGGATGATGGGACAGTGTTCACACAATTTGAGAACTCTCCACTCCCAGCCGTGGATTTGGTGAGGCCCGCCCGCCACCCCCTGTCCGCCCCACTCTCATCCATGCCTGGAAAAGCTCATAACCCATCTGCCTGTTCTCCCTACGTCACTGTCACCAAGCGCTGCCTGGTGGAACCCTGGACAAGTGGCCCAGCTCTCCCAGAGGTGCTGCTCCCCGAGGACTCCCGGAGTCACTCAGCAGGCCAGGCGGCTGTCACCTCACAGGGTGGCAGGGTAGCAAAGCAGCTCTGGTGCGTGTCCTTGGATGTCACGGTCAAGTGCCCCTTTCCCTTTTCTGACCCCATCCCAGTCACCCAGAGCTGCTGCTCTAAGTCAGGAAGACTAAATCCCCAGGAACAGGTGAGCATCGCCTGTGGACGGGGCTGGGCGCTGGTGGGGTGTCAGCGAGGTGCGTGCTCTCCCAGGGGCGCTCATCAGGGCTGTGAGAGGTGAGCTGTCGTGACAGTGGCGTGGCTCTGGGAGCAGCCGCCCTCTGGAGAGCCCGGGTTCCCAGCAGAGAAGCTGAACACTGGACAAACAATTCCAGGACTGCAGCGTCTGAAAGTGTCCGAAGACGAAAGGGAAAGATTTCAGAGCCTGAAGGGGTAAATAATGAAGCAGGGAGAAAGGAGATTCAAAAGGGGGTGTATTTTTAAAATAGTGACTCTGGACGGTGACAGAGAAGCCACCACAGCTTGGTGACCTGGGGTTGGGGCCGCAGCCTGGCTGGGTGCTGGCCAGCCCCTGCTGCTCTGTCACCCCCATCCTGTGAGACAGGACCTCACTCAGGGCTTGTGCGTGGGTCCAGGGAGCCTTGGCACCCAAGGATGGTCACCCGGGGTTCCAATTTCCAGATGAGAGTGAGCACTTGGTACATTCAGAGAGCAAGATGAATTCTGCCCTGCGGTAATAATTTGTCTTTTAGCGATTGAGAAGAAAAAAATAGGCAAAGTCCAGGTGCTCTCAGCGTAAATCAACATGAACGTTCCCTGAGGGCCAAGGCAGTCTCTGGTGCTGCTGTGTGTTCTTGGGGCCCTGGGGACTGCTGGCCTCCGGGTGTCTCATGACAGTGGTGCTGGTTGGGGTGCAAGTCCCCAGGAGGTGGCGTCTCCCCTCCCGGTCAGGCCCGTGGTCAAACACTCTGCTGGGCCTGGAGGGATCCACGGAGGACGGGCCCCCGGAGCTGAGCAGCGCAGTGGCCTCTGGAAAGCAGGCTGCTGGGGGAGTGTCCGGGCGTCCGCCCCAGGGCCCTGAGGCTAAGAGCATGACTGCAGGAGGAGGAAGGTGGGGCTCAAAGCAGACCCAGGAGGAAGTTTTGATGACTCACATCACTAAGATGCTTGGCTGGGCCCCACTTTTGGCTGGAAGAGATGACACATCAGCTAATGCTAGTGAGTTCATCAATGAACAGCACCTGAACGCTGACCCGGCTGCCCTGCGCCTCCCAGGGGATACAGGGCCTGAAGGCCCCTCCTCCCTCCCTCCCTCCCTCCTTCTCGCTCCTGGGCCTGGCCAGCCCTGTTTTGATCACAGAACAGCTAAGGCTGATGGAAAGGGAGTGGCTGCAGTCTGGAGTGACCTCTGAGCAGCTGTGGCCAGTGACCCTGAGGAGGGATGTCCAGTTGGCAGCACAGAAAAAAGGAGCAAACCCCTGCGTCTCCAGGCAGGCACCCGTGCGCCAGCCTGCAGGGTGATCAGCCTCAGTTTCCTAGCCCTTCCAGAGTCCCTGCCCAGGGGCACCCCAGCTCTGGTCTCCTGCTGCCCCAGCCTGCCTTCCTCCCCACGGGGCTCCCGTGGCTGCTGGTGGCTCACCTGGGGTCCTCCCCACCTCGATGGCTGGATGCCTCTGCCCCTGCACTCATTACAGCCTGGAGGGGCGTAGGGCCCTGCCTCCTCCTGGAGGTCCCAGTCCCCCACAGGCAGGTCTGCCTCAAAGCCCACCAACACCAAATACCATTGAGTATCGGTTTTGTTTTGTTTTTTGTTTTTTTTTTTGAGACTGAGTTTTGCTCTCGTTGCCCAGGCTGGAGTGCAATGACGCAATCTTGGCTCACTGTAACCTCCGCCTGCTGGGTTCAAGAGATTCTCCTACCTCAGCTTCCTGAGTAGGTGGGATTACAGGCGCATACCACCATGCCCAGCTAATTTTGTATTTTTAGTAGAGGCGGGGTTTCACTATGTTGGTCAGACTGGTCTTGAATTCCTGACCTCAGGTGATCCGCCCGCCTTGGCCTCCCAAAGCGCTGGGATTACAGGTGTGAGCCACCGCGCCCAGCCAGTATCACCTTTTTGATACTTGACTAACAATGCTGTGCTAACTTCTAAAAATGTTTAAGGCAAAGTTTGCTAAAGTGTAAGCATATGGAGAAGAGCACAGATCATAGATGACGAATTTGCACAAACTGAACACCCTTGTGTAGCCAGCACCCCAGAAGCTCCCCATACTCTCTCCCAGCTACTTCCCCTCAAGATTGGCATCGTCTGGTTTTGAATTTACACGATTTTTTTTTGGTCTGGCTTCTTTCACTTGCACTTTGTGAGATGCAGCCGTGCCTGCGTGCGGCGTTGAAGTTCATCAACTCCATTTCATTGCTGCAGAACCCTCCGCTGTCTGCCCAGACAACGACTCCTGCGTCCGTCCAGTTGTTAATGGACACCGTGGTTTCCAGTCGGGGCTGTGACAGAGTGCTCTCATGGGCACTCTTGTGCGTTGGTGTGCCTTTCTGTTGGACTCGTACTAAGATTACTGGTAGTAGGGTACGCACGCAGCCATAGTAAATAATGTGGCATCAGCTCTGTGTGTGTGTGCGTGTGTGTGTGTGTGTGTGTGTGTGTGTGTCCTGCCTCCCTGGTGATTCTGTAAGCAGGTGCTGTGTCTTCACTTCCCCAGGCTTCCTAACCTGGCGCCCTGCATGCCAGCTCTCTTCTGCCACCATCCGGCTCTGCGCACACGCAGGTGCTTTGCCTCACCTGGTAGTTGAGGCTCAGCATGCATTTCTGCTGAAGCCCTCGGTTCCTCTGATGGGCAGTCCCCAGCGCCCCATGTCCTGAGCTGCTTCCCCACTAGCAGGACTTAGATGCTGCCTGTGAAGGACACACCATGAAGATAGCAGGTGGGACCCCTGTGGAGAGGGAGCACCATCTCTGAGGCTGCCTGCTTCCTCGGGCTCAGCCTTGGGATTTATTCATGACTGGGAACTGTAGCAGGACCTGGTTTGTAACCACCAGCTGTCGCTATAGCAACTCCTTATACCAGCCTCTACACTAAAAATAGATCACCTTCATCCCTAGGATAGAAAAATCAAAGAAAATCAAAGTGGGGGAGGGCCCAACCTGCTCAGCCACCGGGATTTCGAGGTGCAGTGACATAGCTCCTCTCGGCCTCTTTCTTCTCCCACCAGTGGCAGAAAGGGCACAGGCAGGGTGCAGACCAGCCCCTGTGCAGCCCTGGGGGCCCCGGGTGCTGAGGTCTTCCCCACACTTCAAGTCTTATCTGTCTTCTCCTGTCTGGTATGAACTGTCTGTATATAATTGAATACAAATTATAAATAATTGTATTTTTGCCTAGGTTTTATTTGGTTTCTTGATATTAGCTCTTCTGTGGAATGGTAAAGTGCCACCACACCCAGCCTGGCTCTTTTTTTTTTTTTCTTCACTGCGGTAAATATGCATAACATAAAATTTACCAATGTACCCATCTTTAGGTGTACAGCTCAGTAGCATTAAGTACACGCACGTGGCTGTGCAGCCAGCCATCCATCTCCGGAACCCTTTTCATCCTGAAGCACTTAAACTCTGGCCCATCAACCCTGACTCCCCATGCTCCTCCCCAGCCCCTGGAGGCCACCCTTCTACTTCCTGTCTCTATGCATTGATGACTCCAGGGACCTCTCGTCAGCGGAATCAGACAGTATTTGTTTGTGACTGGCCTGTTTCCCTCAAGCATCATGTCCACACAGATGTCCTTCGTGTGTGTGGGTGGCGGGTGGCAGGATCCCCCTCTTTTTTAAGGCTGAGTAATATTCTGCTGTGCATGTGGACCCCATTTTGTTCATGCGTCGATGGACACGTGGGTTGCTTCTCGCCTGCTCTTTGTATCATCACACGGTAGGGGGATCACAGGCCCTTTGAGGCAGGGCCGACCTCGCTCCTGTTGGCCCGTGAAGGGGCAGGAGTACTCACGTCAGGCGCGGTGAAAGGGGTCGATGCATCCACAGGCCAGGGTTGGGAGGCCTCTCCTGGACTCACGGCCACAGTGGCAGCCTCCTTGGGCACCGAGGAGGAGCTGGGACGCACTGAGCAGCCCCGCCACGCCCCGGGTCCCCACTGTCGGAGTTTCTGAAGGTAGAAATCTAGGCTCGGGGGGTGCTTTCTGGTGCCGGTGCCACCCTCTGTTCCACTGTCACTCCCGAGGCCTCTGCAAGTCGGCACTTGGAGCCCTAGCAGGAGGGAGCGTGGCGCGGAGAGCCGCACTTGTGGGGCGGGCAAGCGGCTGCTCCGGCTAGGGAGTGTGCAAGCTCTGGAATCCTGCGCAGGGTCCGAGAGCACAGGGTCCTTTGAAAAGAGGGAAGCAAGGGTGCCCAAAGCCCGGGAAGTGCCGGGAGGGAGCGCCTGGGAGGGCGACGACGGGACCTGGAGACAAGTGAGCCAGCACCAGCTCTACCCTCCAAGGGCCCGCGCAGAAGTTCCCATCCTCGGGCTCTGAGCAGCATGGCCTGTGGGAACCTCCCTGCCTTGGGAAGTCACCAGTCACCCCCTTCCTCAGGAGGGGAGGACGGGAGCAGGTGCAACCTCTGAGGGACAGCAGGGCCGACAGACTCTGTGGAGATGCCCATCCCTGGGCTTGCTGAGAGGATGACAAAGGGGCTGGGAGCTGGAAGAGCCCTGCAGTCTGTCTGGCTGTGTCTGTGAAAGGGCCCTGTATGCAAAGCGACCCCCAAATGCAGAAAGAGCCCAGAAACCAAAGAACAAGACAGACAAATCCAGTGTGTTGTTATAGGGTGATTTTATTGGGGGAACTTACGGGCAGAAGTGTAGTCTTGGGCAACCACAAGACAGGTAGGTCCCCACCAGCACCCCCCGGACCCAGGGCTTCTATACATAGGGCAAAGGTATGGTGCTCCAGAGGGAAGGTGTAGGAATATGCCTAAGGGCAGGATTTACCGTGGAGTTTATCAAGGTTGATTTGCCGTAAGGGCAGGATTTATGACAAGTACTTGCTCTTACACAGAACAGTAGATCAGCTGGAACCGGGGTTGATCAGAAGCCGAGGTGGAGGATTTGCTCCCAAGATGGAGCTGCTTCAGGCTTCACGGGCGGGTTGGCTGAAACATGGACCCAAAGGTGGCCCATGCTGAACGGAGTTGAAACACCAGAAACGCCTGCGTCTGCTGCAGAGGGAGGCATCATGGCTCAGGGAGACTGGAGAGGATTTGCCAGTTGAGACCAACTCACCTGCCACTCACACACCTTTCACCAAGACTGTGGTGAGGGAGCCCAGCGCCCTTGAAGAGCTCCCTGTAGGTTGGAAATCACAGGGGGACCTACTGCCACTGACCAGGGATCCTAAATGAAGTGGGAGTATCTGGGTCCCAGCATGGCAGGGGCCAAGTGGAAACAATCACCAAAGGCAAGGCAGGTGCGGCCCATCGGCGAAAGCAGAGGCCAAGCAGCCATCAGGACCGTCAGACTCAACTCCTTGGGGTGGGCCGCGTGACCTAGGGCGTGGGCCAGTTCGCCACCATGTTCTTAGAAGTGAAATGGATGGGAAGCCTACTACATTCTAACTCGATCTGTATAAGTAGAAGTGTAGGCCAAGTGAACAAAAGTCTAGCTCGAATGCGTCATGGTCCTTCAATCAATTCTTAGGCTTGAGCCAGTTTCCAGACCCAGAACTCTTTGAGTGGAGGGGGAGGCTGGGTCCCCTTGAAGAAGGACTCCACTGCACTACCAAAAATGTATACTATTAACCTCTCTCCCGTTCTTCCCCAAAGGGACTTATGGCTTTTACCAGGGCAACTGGGCATTAGGGAAAGGGTATTGGAGGTGACAGAACACTGATTCTAAACTGACATTCAGCCCAGGAGATGCACAACGTCACTGTGGTCCACCTCTCAGAGCCGGGGCTGTGGACACAGAAAGAGATGGTGACTAGCATAGAATTTCTCCAGTTCTCCTGCGGTGGAGGGGAGGAGTGGGCAGGCTGCAGGGGATGTCTTTCCTGTCTGCAGCCTTCCGTTTTCCACTTTTTGGGAGGCAGAGACCTAAGAAAAGAGGAGCCAAGGATGTGGTTGTGGGGCTGGGGTGCTCAGAAATGGGGAGCAGCTGGAGGATTAAAAGGCCTCTGGGGCAGGGAAGAATGTCCTTTAATGGGGACCTGCCGGGCCTGTGCCTATCTAATCAGTTTTGCTGTGTGTTAGTAGCACATCCATAATAAGAAGTGCCTGTGACAGCCGGGACTGGGAATCGGTGTTGAGCTGTTGGCTGATGGTGGGGAGGCGGCGGTGCACACTCTCGGCTTCCCTTGCACACGAACCTCGCAGAGCATGGGGCTGCATGTCCGTGTGTCCCCACGGGAGTCTCATGGCATTTCTGGAGAATAGACAGGATCCTACCCCCGCCACTCACCTGCTAAAGTCTAGCATTCCTTTATCAAAGCCGAGCCCTTCTTTCCTCAGTGAGAGATGAGCTCCACGAGGAGACCCCTGGGGAGGGAGCTGGGGTAAGTGATGGTAGTCCTTTCGCTGGAAGTTTTGATGCCAAGAGTAGGAGAGGAAAGGATGCCAATGGCAAGACATCCTTGGCTGAAAGATGGCTGCTTTCACCCATCCTAATGTTTGTAAACTTATTTACCCTTTTCCTAAGGTGAGGTTGGCAGGCAGTGCCATGTCAAGCAGGTAACGAACTAACGCTCCCCTGAACATAGCTCGTCAGGAGGAAGGGTGCTAGGAAAACCAGACTGCAATGGGCTGAACCCCTTTTATAAGATAGCAAAGTCTTGGTCACATCTGAGTCTACACCTGCATTGTAAAGAATGTCTCTGGGGGTAAATGAGAGAGCCAACTAATGAGAAATACGGGTTACAGGCTCACTGTGCTGTGGGCACTAGGAGCTATGCCAGGAGGATTCTACAACATCCATCATATTCACATGCAGGAAACAATAGCCAGCTCACCCACAAGACAGAATGCCACAGCCACGCTTGAGGAATTCTGCAAGGTGATTGTGTGGGAAGGAGTAGTCAGGGTGGGCTGCATGGAGGAGGTGGCCTTGAACTGGGCCTCGAGGGAGTAGCAGGGTTGGGATAGGCAGATAAGGGGAAAGAATCTAGGACAAGGAGTATGTGTAGTGTTTGTACAGAGTCACCATGGGAACTAAGGGACCTGGGTCAGAGAGGAATGGTAAGGCCAGATAACGTCTATGAAAGCAAACATAATTGGCTGGTACATGCTTGATGGGACGTTGGCCTGACACTGTGAATATCCGAGGCCAAAACATCTGTCTTCTCCAGACAAACTAAATCTCTACTCAGATTTTAGAGGGGCCTACCCTGCTGCTCCCTGGCCAACAGGGTAGAATGTCCTTGACTGCCCCAGGGGGTCCTAGCATATGTCCCCCACTGTCACGGGCAGGCCTGGAGGGGGACATTAGGTGACCATGGGGCAGAGGGGTGGCACGCCTCCTGTGGGAGGTGGCTGGTCACCCTCGGTTCTGCATGAGAGGCCTTGGAGGGAGGACGTGCTCTGGGGAGCCAGGCCCTCAGGCACCCCAGCTGGGCCCCATAGCGCTGTGCTGGCCTCGGCCCCGGCCCTGGCCCCGGCCCTGGCCCTGGCCCTGTCTTCAGCCCTTTCCTGTTGGCATTAGAGCTCCAGTTGTAGGCAGAAGGCAGCTCCAGAGTGACCGAGGAGATGGCAGAGGAAGCAGGAAGGGGCATTTTCGAGATGCAGAGAGGGGACAGGACCCCCGCTTCAGGATGCAGGATGGGTGGCTGCAGGGATGGGACCCCAGAAAAGCCTGAGTGCTGGGCGGCTGCAGGGTTCTGGCTCCCATGCCTGGGTAGGTGGCCAGGCTGCCCCATCCAGCCCTCTGACATCCTCTATCCTTCTGTCCCCCTCTGCCCTCTGTGTCCCCTCCATCCCCTCTGCCCCCTTCATGCCCCTCCACCCTGGTCTGTCCTTTTTCACCCCCCTCTGTTCTTCATTCTCCTCCATTCCCTCCATCCCCTCTGCCTGCTCCATCTCCTTCTGTTCCTTCTGCCCTTATTACCCCGCTCCATCCCTCTCCATCCCCCTCCATTCCCCCCACCACTACCCTCTGTCCCCAACCATCCCCTCTGACCCTCTCCCTCCCGTTCCATTCTCCTCCATGCCCTTCTGTCCCCTCTATCCCCTCCAAACCCTCCATTGCCCTCTCTCCCCTCAATCCCCTGTCCCCCTCCATCCCTTTCCATCCCTCTGCCCCCTTCATCCCCCTCCATCCCCTCCATTCTCTCTGTCCTCCTTTATCCCCCTCTGTCCCCATCCATCCCCTCCATCCCCCTCCATCCCCTCCATTCTCTCCTCCTTCATCCCCCTCTGTCCCCCTCTGCCATTTCTGCTCATCTGGACGGGCTCTGGAGCCCTGCATGCATTTTCTAGAGCTTGACGGTGCTTTGTTTTCAAAACAGAGGCTGTCAGTGCTTGACTTCAGGGTGTCAAGGTCTGTTCTATCTATTTTAAGAAAATTGTTTTCCACAAATAGCAGTAAGAACACAGTCTGTGTTACACCCACAGAGATTTAATTGCCTATAGACCGACCTCCTGAGCTAGCAGCCTCCACCCTTTCTGGAAAGGGCCATGGTCTTGCTGTATTAGGTAGACTCTCCTATCTAGGGTGCTTTTGGGGCTGGAAGTAACAGAAACTCAAACGCGAACTGGCTTGAACAACAATGCTTGTCCCAGACCAGCAAGTCTGTGTTCTTTCTCTCTGTGTCCATCTGGGCTTCCACTACCTTTCCTTGTGGTCACAAACGGCTGTCTGCAGCCACTGGAGGAGTTTGTAGGTTTATGATCTGGAGGGAGAGAAAGAAGAAAGGGCATTTCCCCCTACTGTGGAATGAGGGCCCTTCCCTGATTCTGATTGGACCATCTTGGAAGGGCTCGCCCCTGGGCCAGTGCTAGTGGCCAGGCCTCACCCTGACCTAAGCACATCCCCTGGGGGTGCTCACAGACCTGGAGGAGCCCAGGACTGGGCCAGAGCTGCCCCTGGTCTGGACCTGGGCAGAGCAAGCACAGCCAATTGGGAGAGTTCCATGGGAAGGTGCAGATTGAATGTGGCGGCCTCAGTGAAATAACAGAACTACCTCAGTAGGCACAGGGGCCAGGGAAGGCGTTACTTGGAGCCCCAACTTACAGGCTGCCTGGCAAACTCAGGGGGAGGAGGGGCAGGCTCCAGTTTCTTGTTGAGAACAGATCAGGGTGCCAGGCCCACATAGGCTCTGGGAAGCCAGGTGGGAGTGACAGTGCCCATCGCAAGACAGTGGTGCTGTGGGCGGGACCCAGGCAGGAATGCAGGTCCCTTGAGAGGCAGGTGCCAGGACAGGACTCAACACACACCAGACTCACTGGGGGAACTGCCCGGGAAGGATGAGGGTAGGAGGCAGAAGACAGGGGGCATCTTCTTTCTGACCCCTGCGGCCACGGTGGCAGGGAAGATTGGACAGCGAGAGTCTCAGGGTGACCCAGCACCCGGCGCTTAGGCATTGGCTGGGAGCAGCCCAGGGCAGGGGCTGAGGGTGCTGGCGGGTTTGGGGTGGGTTGGGAGCATGGTCTCTGTGTGAAGGGGGAAGCGGAAGTTATAGCCCAGCTCCCCCAGCAGGAGGCCTGAGCGGTGGGTCTCTGTGACTACCTCCTTCATAAAGTCCCACTTGCCCAAGAACTTGTATGATAAGTTGGACCAGGGCTGAGCGTGCCGGGGCCGGGAAGCATGTTGCAGAGACCGGGAGTGGGGCAGGACCTCTCTCCCTTCTGCCATGGGGCTTTCTGTCTGCACTTCCACTGCTTCCACCGCTGAGCTGGTTGCAAGATACATCTCGTCTCCCGGAGCAACGCTCGGGGAACAGGGTGGCACACGTCTCCTTCAGTCCCCTCCATTTCCCTGAGTTCGGGGCCTTGTACTTATCAGGGGCTTAATGAATGTTTGTGGGTGGGTTGGAAAGTCTGAGCACAGAGAGAACAGGAATCATCTGAGTCTAAGAAACTACTTGGCAAGATGCAGGCTGGCACCCTCAGGAACACAGGGAAACAGGCAGCCCTTTAGGTCTCAGAGGCCGATGCTGAAGAGAGATGAAGCCAGTTCTTGAACAGAAGGGCCAGGGGAGGTGGGCAGACCTGCCTTCTGGTTTGGTGGACAAGAATGAGAGAATCCCATTGAGCCGTCATCTTTGGACTCCATGGAAGGGGTCCCTCCAGTCAGCTACGGGCCCAGAGATTCATTCTGGCTGGTTGTAGTGGATCCCAAAAATGTATTAAAAGCAGTGAATAGCTCACAGAGTCCCCAGGATGCAAAAAAAACCTGGGTTTTTTTGTTTGTTTTGTTTTTGGGTTTTTTTTTTTTTTTTTGCATCCTGGGGACTTCATGAGCTACTCAGCACTTTTACTGGGGACTTTGGTGGGTTTCCGAGAGGAGCCCACCATGACTTACAGAGCGGGGACACGGAGGCCCACGTGGCACTGGGCACAGCCACCATGACCTGCATGCAGCTGGAGGACTCGTGCCGTGCTGTGGACCAGATCGTGTCCCCCGAATTCATACGTTGAAGCCCTGACCCTCGATGTGGCTTATTTGGAGATAGGGCTTTGAGGAGGTAATTAAGGGTAAATAAAGTCATAAGGGTGGGGCTGTAAGCTGATAGGACTGTGGCCTTACAAGAAGAGGAAGAGCTCTACCCCCCCCTCCACCCACCACCATGGGAAGGCGGCTGTCTGCAAGCCAGGAAGAGGGTCCTCACCAGAAACCAACAGGGCTGGCACCGTGACCTTGGGCTTTCCAGCCCCCAGAACCGTAAGAAAATCAACTTCTGTTACGTAAGCCACCCCATCTATGTGCTCTGTTCTGCCAGCCCAAGATGACTAAGATAGTGTCTGCTCTGGAAGGCAGGACCTCCTGCCTGGCATCTGCTTCCATGTAGCAGAAGCTGAGTCTGGCCCAGGACGACCCTCACATCAGAGCCCCTTCCCCCCACTCCCAAGGTCAGGCATAGAGGAGGTGTAAAAAGATGCTGCGTGGGCAGAAAGAATGACAAGCACCTACCCATGCAGGGATAGTGAATTTGAGGCAGGTCCCCAGCAAGGTCAAGGCCAGCTCCTTTCTCATGAGGAGATGCTTTCCTGGTGGGTCCCCAAGGCTCAGGGTGGCTCATCAACTTTATAGGCTGAAAAACCCCACTATTTTCAGCACACCAAGAACAGATTTATTACCTGGTTCACAGAAACTTAGCCAGATCCAAAGCTTTTTCATCCCAGTTGGCAGGCATAGTAGGCAAATACGTGGGTGGGCATGGCTACTCACACATGCCAGGCCCTCCCCATCCTGTTGGCAGGGCCACACGGGAGCCAGTCCAGAGCTGCTGAGTGGTCACTGTACCAGCCGGTGAGTCTGGGGCCGGGGCAGCCCTTCTCTTAAAAGGCATCTGGAGCCACCTGTTTTCTGCCCTTTCCTTGGGACACCACCCTTCTGCCATTCTCTTCACCTGGCGTTTCTCCAGAAAGTTCCTGCATATGAAATTCAAGTCAAATATTATTCTTGCCTCCCTGCAAATGACCCCAGTCACCTTGAGTGGAGTTCTAGGTGTTTCCAAATTCTTTAACCATGTAATTACAGTCTCTTGGGTAACTCTCGTCAATGACTGATTGCACCCTCTTTTTATGCGATTTTACAGCTTTATGAAGGCAACCTCTTTCCTTCTTTTTTTTTTTTTTTCTTTTTGACATGGGGTCTCGGTCTGTTGCCCAGGCTGGAATGCAATGTCACGATCTCAGCTCACTGCAACCTCCACCTCCCGGGCTTAAGCAATTCTCCTGCCTCAACCTTCCGAGTAGCTGGGATTACAGGCATGCGTCACCCAACTCGACTAATTTTTATACTTTTAGTAGAGACAGGGTTTTGCCATGTTGGCCAGGCTGGTCTCGAACTCCTGACCTCAAGTGATCCACCCACCTTGGCCTCCCAAAGTGCTGGGATTACAGGCGTGAGCCACCACACCCGGCCCACCTCTTTCCCTCTTTTGTT
This sequence comes from Homo sapiens, assembly GCF_000001405.40. Taxonomy (NCBI): domain Eukaryota; kingdom Metazoa; phylum Chordata; class Mammalia; order Primates; family Hominidae; genus Homo; species Homo sapiens. The sequence continues at coordinate 151,716,943 of NC_000007.14, read as the reverse complement.
GCCTCGAATTTTTGTGGGGCAAGTCGCCACTGCTCCCCTTCCTGCCAACACTCATTTCCCTAAAACGCTCTGGAAGCTGAAGGTGCGGGGTGTGTACCCATCTCTGCTCCACGCGGGCTTGGGGGCTGGAGCAGCTGCGTGGCTCAGGCCTACGTGCTTTCTGCAGGGCTCTGTGTTTCAGACGCTGTTTCCTTTCAGGAATTCAAAACACTGACTGCTAATTTCACTGGTCCCCGTTCTTTGCAGAATGAGTTTATATGAAGTCCCATTCTTAGGTTGATTATGTCTAAGCCTCAGTTTCCACCTCTACAGAATGGGGCAACAGTGTCCCATACCCTCCTTCCTAAGGGATTATTATGCACCTGTTAAGTGCAAGGCTGGGCGGGGTTCTGTGCGTGTCAAGCATGGGAACAAGTATGTAGCTGGCTGGCTGCCCTTTGAGCCTGGAGTGGTGAGGCCAGGACTTGTGGATCCAAGCCCTGCCTGGACAAGGTGGGCTTGCTCTGTTGGGAGTCCACATACGGACCCCTGCCCAGCCCCTGCTTCTCTAACAGGTGCCCAGGGTCACAAAGGGGGCTTGAACACAAAGCATTTTCACCCGATGGAGGTCTCTATCCATTCACTTGGCAAACATTTGCCTGACATGTCATAATCAACACTTTCACACTCGGCCTCCTCTAATCTCCGGTTTTCTTAAAGGCCAAGGGCACCTCAGGTTCAGCACCACATCTGACCCATGGGGCTGACATCAGCCTGTGAACTTCCTGATTTGTGTATAGTTGTAAATGTTTAAACTTCTTAAACTTGTATTAGGCAAATCTCCAGCACTTATCAAAGAGAAAAGAGCGTACTGAAGCCCTGTGTGTCCTCTGCTCAACCCCAGACTACAAACTCAAGGGCAATCGAGCTCCATCCCTGCACACACCCACCTCCCCTGCCCCTTGGATTATTTTGAAGCAAATCCAAGACATATCATTTCATCTATAAATATATAAAAGTGCCTCTCGAAAATCCTTCCTGGAAGCCTAAGATGCCGTGAGATGGGACCGCCGCCCTGTGAGCGAGGAGAGTGGAGTCCCGCACCAAGGCTCCTTGCCCCGCCCCGCCCTCTCTCCTGCCTTTGCCTTTCGCCTTGAGCACCTGTTTTCTGTGGTCTTGGCTTTCCTGTTCGCTGCCTCCCTGGCATGATCTTTAATTCTTCAGCCTTCCCCCTATCTTTCTCTTCTTCCACTCCATCCTCCCTTTCTAGATCACAACTCAAATTGGAATTTTTAAAAAATTTGCTTTTGGCCAGGCACGGTGGCTCACGCTTGTAATCGCAGCACTTTGGGAGGCCGAGGCAGGTGGATTACCCAAGGTCAGGAGTTCGAGACCAGCCTGACCAATATGGTGAAACCCCGTCTCTACTAAAAATACAAAAAAATTAGCTGGGCATGGTAGTGTGTGCCTGTAGTCCCAGCAACTTGGGAGGCTGAGACAGGAGAATTGCTGAGACAGGAGAATTGGAAGTGGAGGTTGCAGTGAGCTGAGATTGTGCCACTGCACTCCAGCCTGGGCAACAGACAGGAACTCTGTCTCAAAAAAAATAATAATAATTTTTTTTTTTTTTTTTTTTTTTTTTGCTTTTAGGCCAGGTGCAGTGGCTCATGCCGGTAATCCCAGCACTTTGGGAGGCTGAAGTGGGTGGCTCACCTGAGGTTAGGAGTTCGAGACCAGCCTGGCCAACACGGCGAAACCCCGTCTCTACTAAAAATACAAAAGTTAGTTGGGCATGGTGGCACGCACCTGTAATCCCAGCTACTTTGGAGGCTGAGGCAGGAGAATCACTTGAACCTAGGAGGCGGAGGTTGCAGTGAGTCGGGATCACACCAGTGCACTCCAGCCTGGGCAACAAGAGCGAAACTCCATCTCAAAAAAAAAAAAAAATTGCTTTTAATTGGGTAGAATTTAACATCACATATTCTTATTTATTTTTTCTTATTTATTATTTTTTTGAGATGGAGTCTCGCTCTGTTGCCCAGGCTGGAGTGCAGTGGCACGATCTTGGCTCACTGCAACCTCCACCTCCTGGGTTCAAGCGATTCTCCTGCCTCAGCCTCCCGAGTAGCTGGGATTACAGGTGTGTGCCATCACACCTGGCTGATTTTTGTATTTTTAGTAGAGATGAGGTTTCGCCATGTTGTCCAGGCTGGTCTCAACCTCCCAACCTCAGGTGATCCACTTGCCCGAGCCTCCCAAAGTGCTGGGATTACAGACATGAGCTACTGCGCCCGGCCCACTTATTCTTAATTTAGAAGTAGATGTTTAACAATTTATTTCACTTTTCTTTATAATGAAAGGAAACTTGCTTTTTACTAGAGTAGTTTTTTTCTCTGTTCACCAATGGCCCTGAACAGATACACGAAGGGCAAGGCCACCAGGGAGAGGTGGCAGGGTGTGGATGGGAGGACGTGGTGCGTGGATGGGAGGATGGCGGCATGTGGATGGGAGGACGGCGGGTCGCGGATGGGAGGACGGCTCTCCGGGAAGCCCTGCCGCCTCTCCACCTAGGCACGGCGGGGCGCGGATGGGAGGACGGCAGCGTGCGTGTGGGAGGATGGCAGGGCTGGGATGGGAGGACGGCTCTCTCGGAAGCCCTGCCGCCTCCCCCATACCTTGGCACACATTTTCCTCAAGGCTTAGAAGTCAAACGTAAGTTAGGCCGGTGAGTAACTGCATAGGATGTTTAATGAGCGCTGACTCTGTGCTAGGTGCTCTTCTTGTGAGATCTTGTTTATTCCCCATGACAACCCCGTAAAGCCCGTACTCCAATGGAGATCACCTGTTCAGCTACCTAGCTAGTAAGTGGCAGGGCTGGGACCCCAGCCCGAGTTATCTAACCGCTACCAGTGACCCCCCACACTTGACTGTCTGTGAGAATCCTTTGGGGGTATGTGCCGGTTCTTGGACTTGAACCCCCAAATTGTGATATATTTGATCTGGGGTGAGATCCAGGAAATTTGCATTTTTCATAAGACTTGTAGGTGATTTTGATGCATACGTCATGGTAGCTACATTTAAACACTGGGGGTCAGGTGCAGTGGCTCATGCCTGTAATCCTGGCACTTTGGGAGGCCGAGGTAGGAAGATCACTTCAGGCCAGAAGTTCAAGGCCAGCCTGGGCAACATAGACCCCTTCTCTATGAAACATTTAAAAATTAACTGGGTGTGGTGGCCTGCACCTGTAATCCCAGCTACTCAGGAAGCTGAGGCAGGAGGGTCACTTGAGCCTCCTGAGGTTGTAGTGAGCTGTGTTCGCACCACTGCACTCCGGCCTGGGCAACAGAGCGAGACTTTGTCTCAAAAAAAAAAAAAAAATTAAAAAAGCAAAAACACCATCCTCATGAGTTAATAGTTGTTGAAATGGCATGCTAGAAAAAATGGAGTTCATTATTCTGTTCTGTCTACTTTTACATATGTGTTTAAATTTTTCCATACTAAAAAAGTAAAAAAAGAAAATACTGCATTACATACATGTGTGAGCTGTGGTACCATATCCTTTTCAAAAACCGCTGATTCACAGCCTGGCTTGCAAGCCGGGGTGCGTCCTACAGCATCAGAATTAAACAAAAGGGTCTGCTTTGGGTGGGGGGAAAGATATCAGAGCAAAAGGAAACAAAGTCCACAATTCTCGCCATTCCCAGAAGACAGTGTGAGGGATGTAGATCTGCAAACTGCATATCCATTTTCTAAGATGTCAGGCTCAGAATTCCTTCTTCCATGACCCCCTGTCCTTCCGGGAGTTTTGCCCTTGAGTCTTCCTTCTCTGTTCACCATTTCCCGTCCCTCTGCCTCGATTTGACAGTGCCATACAGGAGAAATGGGAACTGCTTCAGCTCCGAGGAAGGGCCATCCACTGGGCATTTGTAGGGAAGCAGAGAGAATGCCCCAAACCAGCTCACGCCCCTCTGCTCTTGGCACGTTCCAAGCACACAGGGCTCTCCATGACAATCCTGTCTTTGCTTTGCATGCTGGGAAAGTGCTGAAAATATCCTGCACCCAAAATGAGTGATGGAAAACGGAATGAATTTGCATGGCCAGAGCATTTTCCCCTCTGAAGCATCAGGCTTTGTGTAAATCTCCACGAGGCCTCAGAACCTCTCCCAGGAAAGACAGAGATGGAGGCTGGAGAGGATTGTGGTGTGTTCCACACCCTCCCTCAGCACAGCGTGGCCCCGGGTGACTGAATGTGGTTATGGGGCACACTCATTTTGCTTACTCTGCATGCACTCCCTTTTTTGGCAACAGGAGCCTGATTGTGCCTGGGTGCCTCCTGGACCTGCAGCCCAGGAGCTGGTGTCCGAGGTCAGGCCAGTGGGCACCTCCCATCCCTGGGCTTGGCTCTGGCCGGGTGTCAGCTCATCAGGGCCAACAAGAGCAGATTTGTTTTGTTACATCAGTGGAGGAAGGGGACTTTCCCTTTCACAGTGGGCCAGAGCAAGGCCCCTGCAGGGCTGTCCCTGTGGTTACCATTAGCAGTCTCGTGGGTCCTGAGTGTAGAGTCACTGCCAGGGAGTGGAGGAGAGGGACCCAGTCTCCTGCGGTGGCCACCCCATCTGATTCTCCCTCCAGGCCACACAGGATGTCCAGGCTTTGGGTGCCAGGCCCCTTCCTGCTGAGCCAGCAGAGCGTCCTTCCCGGGTGAGTGAGCCTGAGCCCGTCCCATTGTTCACACTCCTCAGAGCTCTCAGAGGGTCGGGCGGAGGCTGGGTGCCAGGAGGGCACGTGAGGGTGGGGGCCACACTGAGCCGCCCAGTCATGTTACACCACGTGATGCACGTACGCGCCGCGGAGGAAGGCCTGGAGTCCCTGGTGGCACCTGACATTCTGCCGCCACTGCCTCCGGGCAGTCACACCCTGACATGGGATCTGTACACCTCCTCCATCACCCGAGACACAGCCCAGCCACCTGGGGCGCCTGGGAAACCCAGAGGAGGGCGGCTTCTGGGTGATGGTGCCAAACCCAGTCGGTGGCAGGCCACCAACACTGGACCTGTGTCCCCATGTCTAGAGTTAGCACCAGGCTGTGGCTAGGAAGAGTCCTGGGGTCCAAAGATTTCTAAATTGTAGAACTTGCATCTGAGTTGAGACAGGCTAGCGGCTCTCAGGAACCTGCATATCCGAGAGTAACCCTAACAAGTAGTTTAAACACTTCTGTGATGGAGAGCCTGTTCTCTTCCTCGTTCCTTCAACACATTTGATAAATATCTACAGGTTGCTTAACTTTCCTGTGCCTCAGTTTCACCATCCATAAAATGGGGATAATATTGCTGTCCTCCTTGGTGGATGGAGATTAAAGGAAGCAATAGATTTAAAGTGTTGAAATATATTAACCTATTTGAATATTAACTCTTTGACTATTTTCTGAAGTGCATACACTAAAGTGCTTAGTCATCACTGGTACTGTGATGCCTATTACTGTTACTACTAAGCCTAGCACTGTTAGTGCTCTAAGCTTAGCACTCTTAGTACTCTAAGCCTAGTACTCTTAGTACTCTAAGCTTAGCACCCTCAGTACTCTAGCCTAGCACTATTAGTACTCTCAGCCTAGCATCCTCAGTACTCTAAGCCTAGCACCCTCAGTACTCTAAACCTAGCACTCAGTACTCTCAGCCTAGCACTCAGTACTCTCAGCCTAGCACTCTTCATACTCTCAGCCTAGTACTCTTAGCACTTTAAGCCTAGCACTGTTGATCCTCTAAGCCTAGCACCCTCAGTTCTCTAAGCCTAGCACCCTCAGTACTCTCAGCTTAGCACTGTTTAGTACTCTCAGCCTAGCACTCAGCACTCTCAGCCTAGTACTGTTGATACTCTAGGCCTAGCACTGTTAGTACTCTAAGTCTAGCACTCTCAGTACTCTAAGCCTAGCACTCTTAGTACTCTAACCCTAGCATGTTAGTACTGTATTCCTAGCACTCGCAATACTCTAGGGCTAGTACTGCTGGTACCATATGCCTAGCACTGTTAGTACTTTGTAAGCCTAGCACTCTTAGTACTCTGGACCCAGCACTGCTGACACTCTCTGCCTACCACTATGAGTGCTCTGTGCCAAGCAATATTCTAGACTCTGCTGACACAGAGGTACAGAGAACAAAGTCCCTGGCTTCGTGGAGCCTATTTGCTTGTAGGGGCAAGCAGAGTGTGTTAGATGTCATGACATCTCCATGTGTGTATCTGGGCGGATAGTGACAAGTGAAGAGAGAAAAATGAAGCTGAATGAGCATGTGGCAAATGGGGGTGTGTGAGCGGTGCCCTCTTAGATGGTATGCTTAGGGAGGCCTCACTTTGGGTGGCTGCGCCCTGGGAGAGATGCAAGAGCAGGGAGAGGGCAGGGCTCCCGGGGAGGGGAGAACAGCACATGCACGGGCCCTGAAGGGGCTGCCCCTTGAGTCTTCCTCTAAGTGTGATGGGGTCACCGCAGAGCTTCGAGCAGAGGAGTGACGGGGTCTTCTCTTCCCACGAAGGTTCATGTGGCCTCAGTGTGGCAGCGGAGCAAAGGGGAGGGGAGTCTTTTGTGGTGGGGAGACTGGTGGGTGACCACTTGGTGTGCTGCCTCAGGGCGGGGGGCGAGAGCGAAGCCTCGGCAGCTGGGGGACAGGGGTGCCACGCACTGAGATAGAGACAGGCTGGGCGGGGCACGGGTGGCAGAAAGTCCCGGACTTAGAGTTCTGGTTTCAATCCTGAAGTGAGAGGTGCCTCCTGAGTCTCCACCTGCCTCTGCCATCTCTCTGCTGGTGCATCCAAGCCTCAGCTCAGGGGAGAGGCGGCTCCCAAAGGCCGGCCCTTCTGCTGAGGTGGCTGCTCCGACTTGGAACTGAGCTGAAGACACCAGTGCAGTTTCTATTCACTGGGCTCCGGCCACCCTTCTAGACTCGAGAGTGCTCCGTGGGGCTCTACTGTAAATGCTTTTCCTCCTGAAAGCCCTCTGGAAGGCGAAGTGGCCATTGAGTCCCCCAGGCACTCAGTGTCACACGTCACTCAGTGTCACAATATCACATGTCACTGTCACTGTCACATCACTCAATGTCAGTCTCACGTCACTCGTCACTGTCACTCAATGTCACACATCACTCACAGCATCACACATCACTGTCAATGTTACACATATCACTTCACATCACTCCGTGTCACAGTGTAAGAAACATCCAATATCACAATGTCTCACACTTCACTCAGTGTCACGCAATGTCACTTGTCAGTGTCAGTGTTATGTGTGTGTCACACAATGTCACATGTGTCATTCAGTGTCACATATATCATGTCACTGACAGTCACATGTGTCAGTGTCACTCGTCATTCAGTATCACATGTCACTGTCACACTCAATGTTACAGAATGTCACAAATATCAAAGTCACTCAATGTCACCATGTCACACAGGTCACTCAGTGTCAATCTCATGTCACAGACACATAATGTCACAGAATGTCACATCACTCAATGTCATCACTCAACATCACCAAGTGTCATGCAGGGTCACACAGTCACAAACAGCACTCAATATCACATCACTCAATGTCACTGTCATATAGTATACATCAATGTCACACATTGCATATCATTGTCACACGTCACTCAATGTCACACGTCATTGTCAGTGTCAATGTCATACAGTACCATACATCCCTCATCGTCACACAATGTCACACATTGTCACAAATCGATTTCACACAATGTCAGTGTCACAACACTGTGTCACACAATGTCATTCAGTTCATACATCGGTGTCACAGTGTCACTCAATGTCATACAGTTCACACATTGTTCATTGTCACAATATCACATACCATCATAAAATGTCATATCACTCAATATCACGTGTCAGTGTCACACACGTCACTCAATGTCATGCACTGTGACAGTGTCACAGTGTCACCATCGCCCATCACACAGTGTCACACAGTGTCATGGTTTCCGGCCCCTCTGCTTCTGGTATTCTCACAGAACTAGGTAGCTGGTCTGCTGGGCTCTGACGAGAGCAGTGGCGTGCCCTGGTGGCTTCCTTTCAGCTCTGTCCATGGGTGCCCCGAGCTGAACCTGTGCTGGGGTTTAGTGTCAGGTGGCAGCACCAGGCTGTTGGCTCACATGGAACTTAAAAGGCCCTGCCTCACCAAGGGCACTCCAGAGAGGCAGCTGCCGGCCACTGCACTTACCCAGTGACTTTGCTGTGCTCAAGTTCCCTGTGAATTGCTGGACATTTTACCTTTGTCATCCCCTCTGGTCACTGCCCACATTACATGGCTAACACGGGGTACGACAGGAAAGCCCTCCACGTGGACAGTGTATCCTCACTTGCCAGGACCCTACAGGCATGCCATGAGGACCCTCTGGCTCCAAATTCCCTTTACCTGGCTGGCTCGGTGGCTGAAAATCCTTCGTTACAAATGCATTCCTTTGCTAAACAGAGAAGGCTGTAGAGTGAAAACCATCTTTACGCTGCATAGAAGATACTGGTACATTTACTATTTTTATTTTTTGTTGCTTCTATTCTCTTCGATGGCTGGCAGGTGCCAGGTTGGCATGGGGGTTTGAGGGGCCACACAGTGCCCCACTGGACGATCATTCTGAGGGCAAGGCCTGACACCAGGAGTTATTAGAGTCCCGAGTTCACTAATGCGGCCTTTCAGAGTCTAGTAAGCCAAAAAAGAAATAATAAGATTCATCCGACTTTCCTTTCACAATACCTCACAGTAGCTGGCTGCATGGAGAGTTTAGGGTAAGAAGCAATTGGAGGTTTGGAGCCTGACAACCCTGGGTTCAGGTCCAGGTCAGCCAAATGTTGCTGGGCAAGCCCCTTCATCTCTTCCTACTTCCATTTCCCCAGCTTTCAACGGGGACAGCGCCCCCCTTGTGGACAGCGGGGGCCAGTTCACACCCAGTGGTCATGTCCGGGGGCCTTTGCAGGTGGACAGTCAGCATGTTTTCTCTGTGCGTCCTCCCCTGCCCCGTCTGGGTTGGGCCGAGAGTTCTCTGGGTAGATGTCCACCATGTTCGCTATTGGGCTTTCCTGCCTTGGGGCCGGTGCTGGCTCATGCCTGGGCTTTCTTTGGCCCCGGTGGCCCCGGGGTGAGTTGGGCACATCACGGGCTCTGTGGCTATTCTGAGCCCCCTACTGACGTAGGCCCAGCTCCCTGGCTGGCCGGTTTAACTTGGTTCTTGACCAGCCACTCAATTATTTTTGTGTCCTTTGTTTGCCACTGCAGCAGTGGTGAGGACCCAGTTCTCCCTCAGGACTCCTTCTGGAGATGAGGTGGTGACATCAGATGGCTGCATTTGGCTTGGAGAACTGAGTCACCTTCGGGAGCACCCCACCAGAGAGGAGAGCGGGTGATGGGTGCGAGCCAGAGAGCCTCTGGCCTTCAAATTCCCATTCCTCTCCCCCAGAGCCAACAGTGTGACCCTCCCGAGGTTTGGGGAGCTCTGGAAGCTGAAATGCAGGCTCAAGGGCGGGAAGAAACATTTCTAGGAATGTCACTAAACGGTCATTATATAGCAGCTTCTCCGACCACCGTTTAGTAGGAGGGACCTGCTAGGAATTTGCAGCCACACCTCAGCTACCCTGCTCCACACTCCATTCTGGGGACTGCCTTATCAGGGACTTGCCTTATTGAGGTCCCCTGCTCACCTGTTGAATGAATGGGACACTGCTGTTCATTCTCCTGCTGCCAGGATGCCGTCTAGCCTGGACAACGGCAGCTCAAGTTTGGGCAGCGTCGGAGGGAGGAGGACTGGGTTTCATGACATGGTCCAGTTGCTATCCAGGTGCTTGGACTTGTCCTCTGACCAGGTGTTAAATGTCCTGGGGACTTGTGGTCCCCTGTGAGCATTTCCTTCTGAAACTGAGACAGGGCTGAGCTCAGTAAGGCTGGGGCACCCAGGACGCAGCCGAGGGGGAAGGCCTCCTCTGCATGACTGCAGGCAGGTCCGAACATTTGAGGCTGACGTTGGGTTGGGCCAGAGGCACCCTCTTCCCTCATGGTAGACGCCTCTGGAGGGTGTATTTGAGTGCCCTACTCCATCTAGTCCCTGGCCAGGCCAGGTGGCTCCAATTGGGCTGAGATGCATGGGGAACCACCGTGGCCTCCGGCTCAGGTTGGAGAAGCAGAAGCCATTGCCGGAACGTATTCTAGACTCAGGCTGTGTTGAGCGTTTGCTGAAGCTGCTGTTACTGCCACAGCTAACGCCTAGTCTGGGAGACAGCCAAAATGGGTTTGCATCTTTCCTTTGAATACATTCCTTGGAAGAAAGTCAGAAGATTTCAGCTTGAAATTCTATAAAAACCATCATTTGCATTTCCAGTGCACACCTGCTCAAAGCAGGAGGCAGGTCAGGGTGCTGGTTGCTCGTACTCTGGCTTTCTGCAAGAAGCCTCGTGGTGGGAGATCTCGGTGTCTTCCTGGGACTTAATCTTTACAGCAAGGCACTGTCCCAGGTGGGGAGATAGTCCTGACCCTTTTGGGACCCTAGTTTCACAGTCTGGGAGATGAGTTGGATGTCTTGGAGAATTTGACTTGTTAAAGGCAGGGCGAGGCAGGAGCCTGACCTCCCAGTCCTGGGCTATGAGTGGGTCTCTCTGCAGCCTTGATTGCAACTAGTCATTACCACCTAGGAGGAAAGATTAATTTCTCCTTTGGTGCTACAGGGCAAAGAGGCAGGAGGAGACAGCAGTCAGGAGCTTGGTCTCCAGAGCCAGACTTCAAGGCTTGGCTGGAGCTCTGACTGACACCAGCCAGCTGTGTGGCCTTGGGCATGTCCCAGGGTCTTCTCTGTGCTGCATATCTGCTGTGCTGAGTCACACTGAAGTTGTGTTACCTAACCTTTTACTCCGGGAAGCATTTTCAACATGCTTTGCAGGGTACAACATGGTTTCACATACCTGTCGTTTCATCTTAACCCTGATGAGCAAGACTCAAGAGACCCAGGCTCCTGGCTTGAAGTTCTACCCTCAACAACAGTGAACTTGGGAGTTGCAGGTGCACAGATGGGGGGCGGGGGGATGTGAAATCATAAAACATGTGTAGGAATGTCAAATAAAACGCAGCGGGTGAGATGAGATCGGCTAAGAAGGGCCACTTATGAGATTTCTACAAGGAAGTGCCACCAACCTGCAGAGGGCAGTGTAAGGAGGAGTCAACACTCTTGCTCTAGGAGGGGACCCCAGAGCCTGGAGAGTTAAGCAGGGAGACTGAAATTAATTTGAAGAGCAGAGCACCCTCCAATCGAACACCCTGCTCTAGGAGGACCTTAGTGAGCTGATCCTGGACAAATAGAATTGCTTTCTTTATGGGCCTTTGGGAAAACTGTGCTTACCTCTCACGTCTCTTTCTCTCTGAAAAGACGTAGCCCTCCCCCTATCTGTCTCCCTAAGGAGTGTCTGTCACAGACAGTCGGCTGTCCCCTCGCCCAGCTGTGTGTGATAGACAGATGCTTGCAGCCAGATGCCGGCTGCGTGTTCGGCATACCGGGGTGATCCTGCTTGGGACCGAGTGCTTGCCAGCCAACTTTCCCGGCTGGATTAATTTCCAATCCATGTACATCTGTGTGTGTGTTTTACAACCCGATTGAGAAAAGAGAAAAAACACCATAATCCCTTGTTTCCTTGGTGTTGCTCGAGAGGAAGTGGGCTTATCAGTAGGAATGAAAAGGGAGCCTGATATTCTCAGCCAACTCTGAGACCAGAGGGGTTTCCAGAGCAGCTTGATAACCTGAACATTTTATCCTGTACGTTTCAGACACCAGGCCTCTGTTCAGAGCAGCTGGAAGTATAACTCAATTGCATTTACGTTTTATCAGAAGGTTGAAAAATTCTCATTAACTTGCTAATCGTCAAAAATGTGTTCAGCATTTGGCTGGTAATTTCAGTGGTGTCTCCTATAGAAGATAGTATCTGACACACCAAAGAAACCTCATTTCGTTCATGGCTGTTTTATTCCCGTTGCTGAGGCTAGCAGGGGCAGGACTTTTAAGCGCTAACATTTTGGGGACGTGGTCTGTCCACTAAATCATAGGCTTTGTAGTGGTTACACTTGGGTTCAAAACCTGCCGCACCGCTGAGCAGCCTCGCTCTCCCTGTGCCTCCCTTGGCAATACTCACTCTCTTTCTCCAAGCCGTGGCGCCCCGGGAGGCAGAGAGTTGTAAATCCCCACCCGGTAGGTGCCGCGTGGATTGCAGTAGATACGCAGGCCCAGCACATTGTAGGTGTTCCACAAATGCTCAGACTTGGGCCCCTCCCCTTTCCTCATCTCTCTATAATGTCTTCTGTGCTGAATAAATACATTAACTAAAAGCAAGCAGCAATTCTGGGGAACATATGTATAGAATGTTCATACAGCATCATTTATAATAGCCCCAGAGTAGACGCCGCCCAGATGCCCATCAGCAGTCGAAATGGTAAACACATGATGGTAGATTTGCATAATGGAACCTCCTACAGCAATGTGGAGAAACAGTCTATAGCCACATGCAGCAGTGTGGCTGCATCTCACAACCAACACTGAGCAAGAGAAGCCTGAAGCAAAAGAATACAAAATGTGCAGCTCTGGGTCACAAAATACACAGCCAGGCAAAACATATGATGCTAGAATCATGAAGATTAGTTAGAAAGAATAAGACCTACTATTTGATAGCACAGTAGGGTGACTGTAGTGAATAATAACTTAATTGTATATTTTAAAATAACTTAAAAAGTGTAATTGGATTGTTTGTAACTCAAAGGATAAATGCTTGAGAGGATGGATATCCCATTCCCCGTGACCAGCTTATTTCACATTGCATGCCTCTTTCAAAACAGCTCAGGTACCCCATAAATATATACACCTACTATGTACCCACATTTTTTTTTTTGAGACAGAGTCTCGGTCTGTCATCCAGGCTGGAGTGCAATGGCGCAATCTCGGCTCACTGCAACCTCCGCCCCCCAGGTTCAAGTGATTCTCCTGCCTCAGCCGCCTGAGTAGCTGGGATTACAGGCACCTGCCACCATGCCTAGCTAATTTGTGTGTGTGTGTGTGTGTGTGTGTGTGTGTGTGTGTGTGTGTGTGTGTGTGTGTGTGTGTGTGTTTTCCAGTAAAGACAGGGTTTCACCATGTTGGTTAGGCTGGTCTCAAACTCCTGACCTTGTGATCCACTCACCTCAGCCTCCCAAAGTGCTGGGATTACAGGCATAAGCCACCGCGCCCAGCCAAAAAAATTTTTTTAAATAGAAAAAGAATGATGATGATTATCTGAGGAGGCAGGTGGTGCCTGGCAGGGAGATTGAAGGGGGCTGCCATGTGGGTAGTAACATTCCTTTCCTTCTCTGGGTGCTGGTTACATGGATGCATGAACTTTGTGCAAATTTGTCAAGCTGTACACTCTCAATGTGTGCACTTTTCTATATTATGCTCCATAAAACATTTTTTAAAGCCCAAGTGGCCAGATGATGTGGGAGAAGTTCCTTGAGTTGTTCTCATCAGTAAGACAACTGAGGGCTTGACGGAGCCATCCAGTGCTCCGGCCACAGCGGAGAGCAGAATCGCTGCTATCTGGGCAGAAGACACTGCAGGGGAAACACCAGTTTATTTGCTCATTGGTAAAATAAACTGAAGACACATTGAAAAGCAGCTGCAGGAGCTCTGAAAACAGATTTCCTTTCTTAGAGCACCCGCAGTCCTTTGCAGGGTGCCATTCACTGTGACGGAGAAGGTGCGCTTTTCCTCTTTCCTTCTTTGCTTCGCGCGCGCTGATGAGTGAGTCAGAGAAGCCATCATGGCCTTGAAGAAAGATGAGCTATTTGAGCAGCAGGCAATGTGAGAGGCTGAAGGGCTGGCAGAGGTGTCTTCTGCCAGGTGTTCCCTTTTCTCCCTGGGCAGGCAGGTTAGGGAGCCCAGCATAGAGGCTGGGTCCCTGGAGAGATGAGCAGAGGTGAGTAGTACATGGACGGATGCTTAGAGGCAAAATCGTGCCCTTGGCAGTTTGACATTCACTCTACTTGCTCCAGTTCTCGGAACTGGAAGGCGAGAGGTATCACCCCCAGCTTCTGGCATTCCAGACCTACAGTCCTGAACTTGGACCCTTCCCAGGAGAGACCTTTGGGCTCTGGTCCTCGCCCTCCTTGCCATCACCTCATCCCCTCAACCAAAACTTTGCTATCCTAGGGGCTGTGCCCCCCAGGCCTTCACTCTGATCATTAATTCATGCTAGAGTCTTATTATCCAATAACAGGACTTGGTGTTTCTCCTGAGAGTATTTTAACTTGGGATTCTTGGGACTATGAATGCCTCCATCCTAAGGAATGCATTGCCAACTGGTGAGTGTGAAACTTCAAAGTTGCATTTGTCTGTGTACAGAGCGGACCTGGCAGTGCCCTGATGGGCTTCCTGGCAGATGGGGAGAGGAGATAGGGGAAGGAAGGCAAGCGGGTGGGCAGGGACCTGGCAAGACTGCCGTGGGGGCTCCCTCTGTGGGTGGGACTCTCAGGATCAGTGTGGACCTGCATCCCCATCCGTCTGCTGTCAGCATGGACGAAAGCTCCGGCCTGAATGTCTAGGTGGACTTTCTCATGTCAGGGAAGAGAGTCAGTGTGTGCCTACTGATGTCCCTTTGATGATGAGGCCTCCTCTCTCTTTTGGGGGACCGGCACTAGGGATGTAAAGGATGTGGAAGATGCAACTGGGCTACCCCAGCAACTTTTTCTGAAAATTAAACTTTTAACCTTTGCTTCTTTCTTAGAAAGCATTCTGCAGAACACCACCCTCCAATCGAACTCCCCGCACAGGGGGAAGTGTTCTGTATCCATGCTGTCCATCTTGGTAGCCACCAGCCACATCTGGCTGTTGAGCATTGGAAATACGGACAGTGCAGCTGGATTAGCACCCAGGGCTACCATACACAACAGAGCACCACACACCGGGTGGCTTCAAACAGCAGAAACTGACTCTCTCACAGTTCTGCCGGCCAGAAGGCTGAAGTCAAGGTGTGGGAAGGTTGGTTTCTACTGCAGGCCCTGAAGGAGAACCTGCTCCCCACCTGCCTCCTGGCCTCTGGCAGTTCTCGGCAATCCTTATTCTTTTTTTTTTTTTTTTGAGACAGAGTCTCGCTCTGTCGCCCAGGCTGGAGTGCAGTGGCGCAATCTCGGCTCACTGCAACCCCCGCTTCACGGGTTCACGCCATTCTCCTGCCTCAGCCTCCCGAGTAGCTGGGGACTACAGGTGCCCACCACCAGGCCGGCTAATTTTTTGTATTTTTAGTAGAGATGGGGTTTCACCGTGTTAGCCAGGATGGTCTCCATCTCCTGACCTCTCGATCTGCCCGTCTCGGCCTCCCAAAGTGCTGGGATTACAGGTGTGAGCCACCACGCCCGGCCGGCAATCCTTATTCTTTGGCTTAAAAAGATGCACCGCTCCAATCTCAGCTTCCATCTCCCTGTGTATCTGTGTCCACGTTTCCTCCTCCTTATAAAGACACCGGCCACTGGATGAGGACCCACCCTAGTATGACCTCATCTCAACTTGATTATATCTGCAATGACCCTATGTCTAAGGTCACATGCACAGGTACCAGGGTGAGGTTTTCATTGTATCTTTTTGGGGAGACACATTTCAACCCATAACAGCAACTAAGGAGCTGAACTTGAATTTTATAAAGAAATAGCTATGTGAGGCCAGTGGCTGCCTCTTGGACAGCACAGGTAGAGACTGGAGGGAGAAGGTGGCTAATTTAGTGTTTCTGTTCAGACCTCCTCCTCCCCCGGCCCAGTGACGCAGGCCTCAGGTCTGGGTCAGGTGCCTGCTCCAGTGGGGCTTCCCTGGGGGGCAGCCCCTGAGGAGTGGGAGGTGGAAGGGGGTGGACTCTTGTGCCTGACAGCTGAGGGGAGGAGAGGACAGGCGTCTGCTGGGTGCTCGTGTGTGCAGCACATTGCATGACTCAGTTGGCACATCAAGGCTGCATAATGCTCTGTGGTCTCGCCTGTGTGGAAATGCCTGGGACATCCTGTGTGATCCCTGCTCGGATTTCCCGGGCAGGCTGGATGGGTTCTGCATGGATGTTTGACCTCTAAACGGGCAGGCCAAGCACTGAGGATTATTTGGGGTTCGGCACAAGGCCAGGCTCCCCCCGTGTGGAGGGGATGGGTGTGGGAGGTTAAGGGAACTATGGCCTGGCCACATAAGGGGAAGCCTGGAAGCTACCGTCAGCTTCTCCAGGGCCTGGGACGCGTGGCGGAGATAGCCCCAGTCTTCTCCCAGAACTCAGATGATCTCCTACAGCAGGTGGCTCTCAGGGTGTGAGCCCCAGACCGGCAGGCCTGGCATTACCTGGAACCTCATCAGAAAAGCCAATTTCTGGACCTCCATCCCAGTTCCCAAATCTGAATCTCTGAGGGTGGGGCTCAGAAATCCACAGATTCACAAGCCTGCGTTAAAAAGGGGGTCCTGATTCTTGCCAAAATTCGGAACCCCTGGCCTACAGCCGCGTATCTCACCCTGACGTGTCTGTCGGTCACTGAAGAGTCTTGTCAAAGGGCAGATTCAGGCTCCGTAGGTCTGGGGTGGGGGCCTGGAGGTCTGCGTGTCTAACAAACAGGCTGCTGGTCCTCAGACCATACTCCAAGGAGCCAGAGTCTACAAACCTGAGCTCCACGAGGGCTGGGCTCTTCTCTGTCGTGTTCACTGTCCCCAGCACCCAGAACACAGCCCGGCGTATAATACGCCTCTTTCTTTTCTAGCCACTCAACTTAAAACACTGCTGCAGAAGGAGCTGCTAAACGTCACCCCCGATTTCCCTTGTTGGGGAGGAAACATCATTTTGCAATGATGCAATGACTTATTCAAAGACCTGTTTCCTATGAGATGACAGGACAAAAACCACATTGCCGAGAACTCCATCACCAGATTTCAGTGGAACTATTTCATTAATCTTGTATGCAGCAAAATGTTGGCAGGTACACAAGGCTCCTGTTGAGGCTGTTTCTGCAATGTGGGGGCACCCATCTGCGGCCGCCTGTGGCAGCAGAGCACTGCCCCTCTACTCCCTTCTTCCTCCGCTATGTACCCCAGTTTATCTTAGTCCCAGTCCTTCTTAAAGACCAGCCTATATCAAGAACCTCCCCACTGCCTCCTCTGAGGGCCTGAGCACCTTGCTGTGTCCCAGCCTCCTCGTCCTGCTTTCAATGATTGATGAAAAGATTGACGTGTCCTCCATCAGATGCTTCCTGCACTGTCTTAATGGCTCATGCATTTCTTTCTGGCCCGTAGGCTGGGTTCTGTTACCCCAAGCCCAGGCACTGCATATCCCACTTCCAGTTCTTCCCTGTACAGCCGGTGCCCAGTGAATACTTCTCATCTCATTGATTCACTGATTTATTTCAAAGCAAAAGTAGTCTGAAAGGCCCTTTGCCATTTCTTAATCATAAAACTAAACATCTCCAACAGGAAGGAGGGGCCTCCTGTGCTGGCCTTCATGATAAAGTCGCCGAGATGATCTCAATCCCAGTGAATTCACGGCTCCAGGGCCACCTTAGCGCCTCTTTCTCAGCAGGGGGCTGAGATGTAACCGGATCGTAACCACACAGGCATCCGGCCAGCAGTCAGCATCTCCCGGAGATCTGCTGGGACTAGGCCTGCAGGCAGCCTGACCGCAGGGAGGGAGGCAACCTTCGTGGGAGATCTTCAGAAATATTGTTCATTCGGTTTCTCAAGAGTCTCCAACTACAGTGCAGTTTAGCTTTCACAGCTTACATCCCAGGTGTCAAAGAGACACAACTTGGGGCAGGGATGGGGACAGAGGTCAGAGAAGGAAAGGTGGCCTAAGGGCATTGAGGGGTGCTCCCCAGAGTTTGCAGACTGGCTCTGCAGACTTGCAGGTCATTTCCTGTACCCTGTCCTGAAACCCTCCCACGGCCCGTTTGAGCCTATCAGTCATTTACACTGTAGCGAGAAGTTACCTGATTTCAGGACCTTCTTGCAGAGGTGGGTTTTCCTAGGGTTCCACGTGGCATCTCAGGGTGGCTTGGAGTGGTCCAAAGAGCCAAGTCCTTGCATCTGGATAGGTCTGCAAGGGGCTGACGCTGGTATCCATTGCACCCATTCCCCTGCCTGTAATGTGGATTCCCTCAAAAGCAGAGCTGGTGACAAGGGTCAGGGAGTTGGTTTGGGAGATTGTGTTAGTCCATTTGTGTCACTATAAATATCTGAGTTTGGGCAAATTATGAAGAAAGGAGGTTGATTTCAGTTCACAATTCTGTAGGCTGTAGGAGAAGCATGGTGCTGGTGTCTGCTCCTGGCGAGGCCTCAGGAAGCTTCCAGTCATGGCAGAAGGCAAAGGGGGAGCTGAGGTGTCACATGGTGAGAGGGCAAGAGACAGGGAGGAGGTGCAAGTCTCCTTCAAACAACCAGGCCTCGTGTGAACTCATAGAGCGAGAACTCATTCACTACCACGAGGACAGCACCACGACATTCGCCCCCATGACCCAGACTTCTCCCACCAGGCCCACCTTCAACTCGGGGGTCGCATTTCAACATGAGATTCGGAGGGGACAAAACACCTAAACCATACCAGCGATGATCCCAGGAAGCACAGGCGAGGGGGTGGGGGATGGGACAGTGAAGGGAAAAACCAGGAGGAGGCTCAGAGGGACAGTGGGGACAGCTGAGGCCTCACAAGGGACCTGGTGAAGTGCTGGCTGAATGTGCCCCCAGGGGCATTAGCCCAGGTGGCCCTGTGGGGACCAAACCCCTAGTTCCCCAAGCTGGCGGCGCTCCTCCCGAGGGAGCTCCTGGGCACCAGAGGAAACTCTCAGGCAGGGTTGAGGTGGGTGGGAAGCCCCAGTGCCCACAGGAACTGCCTCCCAGCTGCAGGCGAACTCAGAAGTGAGACCTAGGGACAGGGCATCAACAGTGCCTGCTTCCCAGGGGGCTGGCACAGAGGAAAACAGCACAAAAATGCACCTCCCTCTGCCGTGTCCCCTGAATGCACCCACTGGCCTGTGCACCCATGGCTGTGGGGACCACACAAGAGTCCTCTGTACCTGCACACCTCAAAGCTTGGATTCGCCTTGACCCGTTACACCCGTCCTTCTTTATCCTGGCAGCCTTGAGCCACTGGGTGGATGAGGTTGGAAGGCAGGGTGGAGAGAGGCTCGATTTCTGTGGCATTTTCTGGGCTCTGATGTCTGCTCCCGGCACCTGCCTCCTCCCTGCGTCCACACCCCCTCCCTGCACCCAGCGCACCACTGTATCCCAGCCGTGCCCATTCTCTGTGCCCCCCACAGCTAAGGGGTTATGTCAGACCCTTGCTGACCTGTCACCGTCCACAGTGGATTGGAGGCACCCTGTCATGTGTGGACCTTATGAGGGTTGGGCATCATTGTGTACCCAGCTCTCCAAGCCAAGGACCAGGGGCTCCGGGGCTTCCCCTTTCCTGTGACCCTCACTTCCAGCGGCGGGTCCTTTCTGCTCCAAGTCCCCACAGAGTTCAAGCTCCTCCTGCTGTCCCACAGGTGGTGGCAGAGCCTCCTCAGAGGGCTCCCGGGCTCGGCCCACTCTCTACACCCCTGGGGAATGATGGTACCCCTGCTGGGCACCCAGCATGCCCACTTGCAGCGCCCCCTGATGCTCGGACACAGGTCCACCACTTCTCCCTGCCTGTTGGGACCCCAAGAGCAGGCCTGGTGGGCTGCAGCTGGTGCCCATTCTGCCTTGACCACCCCAGGGTGTGCAGCTCCCTACACACCACCCCCCGTTCCCCAGCAGCTGCTCTTCCTCTGCCAGTTATCATGTGTCCTAAGGGAACTGGCTCCAGCTCTCTCCCCGGGGATGCTCCCGCCCAAGGCCCCTCCCAGGCTACACACCCCTTCCCCATGCCAGGCGCCTCCATCCCGCTGACTCAGACTGGCCACCTGCCTGCCTCTCCCTGGGCCTGCGCTCTGGGGGCAGGGTCCACTTTTTCTGCCTGGCTCTCGGGGAATCTGCGGCAGGTGAACAGGGCCTGAGCCTGCAGGTGGCAGCGCCTGGTCCTAAGGAGCGGCCTTCTGTCTGCTCCCAAGAGCTGCTGCTGCCAGCTCCACAGGGCCCCTCCCAGCCAGAGGAGACACTCCGGGCTGCTCCCCACTCTCCAGCTCTTTTTCCCTTCAGCTGCCCCTTTTCAGGCCTCTCCTCCCTGGTGTGATCGTTTTTATCTGACTTGAGAGGAGAGGTTTGGCCTGACCCTGCCTTCCGATGGATCTGAAACCTACTTTTCAGACAGGGGCTTCAAATCCCAGACTCTCTGCTTTTGAAAGTTTGATGATGGTGGGTGGAAGGTTGCGGGGGGCTTCCTGAAACCTCTCGTAACTGGGGGTGATTTCCTCTTAGCCGTAGGCTATTTAGGCAAGGAAAGAGGTCCTTGTTCTCAGTCAAAGGAGAGATGATGGCGTCAGGGCTGAGGCGCCGGCAGGCCTGGGCCTGCAGAGACGACCTGGCTCTGCTCCTGAGAAGCGCTCACTTCCTCACCTGCCCCAGGCCACCAGAGCAGATGCTTTGCCACATCCACCACAAGGTCCTGTGGCGTTGCGCTGCCCCGGAGCCCCACTGGGGAACCCCATACTCTCCTGATGCTACCAGTTGCCATTGGAGCTGGGAGCTGCCCAGGCGGCTGCACGATGGCTGTGAGAAGGCCCCGGGCGCGCCACGTTTTCCTCTGAAAGTGCTGTGAGCTGCGGCTGAAGCTTGCCAGTATCATGCGCTGAATTTTAACGAATAAGGAGAAGGGAGGAGGAGGAGGTATTTGGTTGGGGTGAAATAGAACAAAGGCCGGCTGAGCTCCTGGCAGCCCTGGCAGGGGCTGCAGAGGAGGCACTGATAGGAGGCTAAGCCACTGGGCTTCCGGGGATGTGTTGGCGATTCTAGCTGGCAACATCAAACCTTATGCCGGCATCAGGCCCGCCCCCTCGGACCCCTGAAGAGCTGGTGTCGTGTAAACACAGGGTGGGGTCTGCTTCCTCTGCCCGGATGAACACCAGACTGTTCTTGCTGTGCTGAGGTCTGGAGGACACAGTGCCTACGGTTTCCACCTGTCTACAGAGAATTCAGACCACCAAGAGTGATTAGTTCAAAGGTCTGTAGGCCAGGGACAGCTAAGAACAAGGCCAGGGCCTAGCCTTACAGCTTCTGCTCAGACCACAAAGAAGAGAGCCGGCTTTAAGCACACCTTGGAAGCAACGCCACCCTGCTGCCCAGGGGAGGTGGCCCATTCAAGAGTTCCTATTTGATTTGTCCATTTCACTGATGGCTGAACTGAGGCTCTGCTCATAAGTGAGCAGCTCTAGTTAGTTGTGCTAGAATGTGTTCCTGAAGTCCTTGCAAAATCAGTTGAAAGAGGGCAGGGATGGTGTCTGCTACCACTGTGCTCCCAGCCCCCAACACAGCTTCCTGCACAATGCCGGCACTTAGGGCACCCACACGAGAAAGTTTGTGTGCACAAGTGCACAGAAAGGCCATCACAAATGCCTACTTCTGGCTGGGCTCATGCTCTCTGGACTCTCTCAAAAGAATGCACCTGAGGGCATTTGGCCTTCTCCCCCTGCAGGAAGTGGATGGGTGTTTATCAAGTAGCTTTATTCAGAAGGAAGACAGAAGAGTCCCAAAGATCAAGGTGACAGGCGGTGTGATTTTATGGTCACATAAGAGGAAACAGGTTTGAGCCATGACTTAGAGAAACAGGTGACTGTCGCTTCAATTTACACAACACAGTGTCATCAGACTCTGCCGGGCTGCAGGCTCTGTGCCCAGAGACACACCCCCAACCCCCCTGTTATGTCACTGGGCAGCCCCACCAGGCATCATGTAAATGTCACATTACCCTTGGCAGGATTCCTCCAACAGCACATCGGAAACTTGGCTGCAGGAAGGCAGGAATGTCTGGCGTTGTCCCGGGCTCCCTCCCTGCCCGGGCCTGCTGACCCAAGTCCTGTGACCGTGGCCCAGAAGGAAGGGACAGGCATGGGCACAGGCTGACAGATTCTGACCCGGAGGGACTGGGGCATCCCCAGGAAACGTGTGGGTGCGGTGTTTGCATCGGATGTCCTTACTCCTTGCTCTGGCCCTCGGTGTTGGGGGCACATGGGGACACCAGGCCATGCAGGCAGCAACCATAGTTGCTGTCACCACAGGAAAGGGAAGCTGCAGACCTAGGAGGGGCAGCGATCTCTTGGGAGACACAGAGCAATAGCAAAGCGATGGCAAAGCCGGGAGGGAATTGTGAGAGAAAGCCCTCCGTGCTGTGTGTAGATGTGGTGGAATAGTATTCAGCCTTCAAAAGGAAGGAGATTCTGACAGGTGCTGCCTTGTGGATGAACCTTGAGGGCATTGTGCTGAGTGAGAGAACGCAGTCATGAAGGGACAGACACTGCCAGATTTTACTCATATGAGGTCCCTAGAGTGGCCAGATTCCCAGATACAGGAAGTAGAAGATGGTTGCCAGGGGTTGCAGGTGGGGAGAAATGAGTTATTTTTATGAGGACAGAGTTTCAGTGTTGTACTATGAAATGGTTCTGGAGATGGTGGTGGTGGGGGCTGCACAGCAGTGTGGTTAATGCTGCTGAACTGTGCGCTTGAAGATGGTCAATTTTAGGTTGTGTGCATTTTAACAAAATCAAAAATAAATGTTTAAAAAGAGTGGACTGTTTGGATCAACAAATTAGCTAACTCAGCGTCTTCGTCTGTTTAGGCTGCCGTAATCATACCATAGACTGGGTGGCTTATAAAGAACAGAAATTGTGGCTGGGCACTGTGGCTCACGCCTGTAATCCCAATACTTTGGGAGGCTGAGGCGGGCAGATCACTCGAGGTCGGGAGTTCAAGACCAGCCTGGCCAACATGGTAAAACCCTGTCTCTACTAAAAATAGAAAAAAATTAGCTGGGTGTGGTGGTGAGCAACTGTAATCCCAGCTGCTCAGGAGGCTGAGGCAGAAGAATTGCTTGAACCCAGGGGTCACAAGTTGCAGTGAGCCGAGATCACACCACTGCATTCCAGCCTAGGCAACAGTGCGAGACTCCGTCTCAAAACAAAAAAAGAACAGAAATTTCTTTCTCACAGTTCTGGAGGCTAGAGTCCAAGACCAAGGTGCTGGTAGATTCTGTGTCTGCTGAGGACCTGCTTCAGCTCCTCCTGGCTGCGTCCTCACATGGTGGAAGGAGGAGGGGTCTCTCTGCGGTCCCTCTTGTAAGGGCATGGGGCACCACCCTCCTCACCTCCCAAGGCCCGGCCTCCTAACACCATCACCTTGCGGGTAGAATTCAACATAAGGACTTGGCAGGGACCCACACATTCAGACCACAGCCTTCAGAAAGTTTTACTAACATATTTCTTGGATATTTGTAAATATTTTTATACTCAGTATATAGATGTCTTTAAAACACAACTTTTAAAGCTAAAAATAAAGCAAGCTCTCAAGGTGCAGCCATTGCATAGAACCCTCTCGTGGGCCTAGCGTGGCTGCTGATGGCCCGGGGAGGTGATGGGCCTGGAGGAGGGACGGGTGGGGCATATTCAGGCCTGCAAACTCCTCTCTGGGATGAGTAGCCACCTGGTGAGGGCCTCACCTTCTCACTTTTCCCTGGAACCCCTCGTGCGCCCCTCGGAGGGCCTTGGGTCTCCTTATGGCCGCCTTGGGCCTCCTGTGCTGCGGGTCTCAGGCCTGCCCTGGGCAGCAGGACATCATCAGGCTTTCTGCATGTTCGGACCTGTGCCAAGAGCCGCTGTAGAGAAGACTCATTGACCTGTCCACACCTTTCAGGGATATGCAGAGATATACCAAAGACCCCTGTCCTCAGGAGCGCCGGGTGACTGAGTCTGGTGGAAGGTGAGGGCGGGTGAAGGAGTGGGATCTCCCTTTCTGCTCCCAGCCTAACCTTTCAGCTCTCTCCTGCCCCCTCCCCTTCTCCCAACAGCAGGGGAAGGCAGGGTACAGGCTGTGTGAGCACAGCTGTCTCCAGGAGGGGAGGGAGTTGTCTGGGTGACAGGGCCCAGGTTGCCTGAGCCTCTGAGACCTCGCTCCTTCCCCCTCGCACTCCCCCGCCCCCTGGTAGTGGCTCCATTCTGTCACCTTCAGGAGATGACCTTTGGGCCAGAGGGAGAGGGAATTCAGCTGCTATTTTTATGTGAGCAGGTCTTGGGCCCCAAGGCGGAGGCAAGGTTTCCACCATCATGCTGAGGCGTCTCCATCCGAGCCCTGCCTGTCCCTCCTTCAAGGCCCAGGGGAAAAGCACCTGCTTCCCCCATTGCAGAGACAACCCCCCCGAACTCATGTTAGGGCACTGTTGTAAAAGTCAGGATTATTTAGCTATAAGTTACGTAGAGTAAAACTCACCCTTTTAAAAAAAAATGTGCTATTCTGAGAGTTTTGAGAAACATCTGCAGTTGTGTAATCAGCACCACCGTCAAGACATAGAACAATTCCAACACCCAAAGAAATTTCCGCATCCCTTTTTATAGTCAATTTCTCCCCTCATCCTCAGCAAACACTGACTTTTTTTTCTGTCCGCTATAATTTTGCTTTTTCCAGAATGTTGTATAAATGGAAATATATAGTATGTATATATTTGGACCTGGCTTCCTTCACTTAGAAAAATGCATTTGAGATTAATTCATTGTGTTGCATATATTAAGAGTTCTTTCCTTTTTATTACTGAGTAGTGTTCTATTGTATAGATGCACCAGTTTTTTGGTTTGTTTTTCATTTTTTTTTGTTTTTTTGTTGTTTTGAGACAGGGTCTCACTTTGTCGCCCAGGCTGTAGTGCTGTGGCGCAGTCATGACTCACTGCAGCCTTGAACTCCCAGACTTAAGTAATCCTCACACCTCAGCCTCCCAAGCAGCCGGGACAACAGGAGTGTGCCACTGCACCCAGCCAACTTTTTTAATTTTTTGTAGAGATGGGGTCCCACTATGTTGCCTAGGCTGGTCTTGAACTCCTGGCTTCAAATGATCCTCCTGCTTCAACCTCCCAAAGTGCTGTACCAGTTTATTAATTCACCAGTTGAAGGATGTTTGAATTGTCTCCAGTTTGGGGCAACTATGAATAGAGCCACTGAAAACATTGCATTCAGGATTTTGTGTGAACAAGGTTTCATATCTTCTAAGAGTGGCATCGCTAGGTTGTATGGTAAATGTATGTTTAACTACAGAAGAAACTGTCAAACTATTTTCCAAAATGGCTATACTAGTTTGTATTTCCACCAGTGACAAATGAGAGTTCCTGTTGTTCCAAATCATTGTCAGCACTTAGTATTGTCAGGTTTTTGTAGACGTTAGCTGGTCTAGTAGGTGTAGTGATGTTTCATTGTAGTTTTAATGTATATAGCCCTAAAGATTAATGATGGTGAATATCATATCATTATTTGTCATCTGTATATCTTCTTTGCTGAAGTATGTGTTTAAATCTTCTGTCCACTTTTTTTTTTTTTTTACTGAGTTTTTTTTGTTGTTGTTGTTACTGAGTTTTGAGAGTTCTTTATATACTCTGCTACAAGTCCTTTATCATATATGTGTTTTGCAATACGGTCAGCCCTCCATATCTGCAGGTTTCACCTCCTCAGCTTCAACCAATTCAGATCAAAAATATTCAGGGGAAAAAATAATAAAAATAATAATACAACAATAAAAATACAGATGAAAAACCAACACAGCATAATAATTACTTGCATAGCATTTCCATTATATTAGGTATTATAAGTGATCCAGAGATAATTTAAAGTATACAGGAGGGTGTGTATAGGTCATATGCACGTATTACACCATTTTATATCGGGGACTTGCACATCCTAGACTTTGGTGCCTGAGAGGGGTTCTGGAATCAATTCCCTGCAGACACAGAGGGATAGCTGTGTTTTCTCTCTGTCATGTTTCTTGTTTCATTTTCTTAACGGCGTATTTTAAAGAGCTTAAGATTTAAAGTTAGATTTGTCTACTTGTTGAGCACTATGTACAAAGCAAGCTCCACAAATCTTTCTTGAGCTGGGACAGTGCACCAGGCCCCATGGGATAGCGATAAGCGAGACTCACTGCCATTCACGCTTAGTGGAAGACCCGAGGTGCATCAGGAAACAACCCAGCACTCTATCATTTGATAACATTGGAATGTGCTAAGTGCATGAAAAGGAGGAATGATTCACTCTAGAAACCAGTGAGGGCTTCACAGAAGATGAGCTTAGCTGACAATAGATGCTGAAGCTGTGGAGTGAATCAGAAGTGGAAAAAACCCGGCTCCCCTAAGCACCGTATTCAGATATCATTTTTCATGCACTGATTCTAGAAACCTGGCACTAAAGAGAAAATTGCATGGAGGCAACATGTATGATGTGGTACAATTGAATCCGGGAACCCTGGTCCTGTCCTTCCCTCCCAGCCTTGCACCTTCCTAACGGCTGCTCCTCTCTTGGGTCCTTTGTGGAGTATCCGGCCTGCCTTCTGCAGATTGACCAAGAATAACAGAGCAGGAACCTTTCGGGGAAGAGCAATGTGTAGAAAGGGGAGGCAGGGCATCTTGGAAGTTTGTCAAGTAGATGAGGTATCTGGAAGGGGGCAGGGGGCTTTCCAGAGCCTCAGATCATGCAAACAGAGGGCTGAGTTCTCCCTCCCCGCGAAGCGAGCTCTACCAGGGGTAGGTACTGTCCATCAGACACAGGCAGCATTAGGAATTCCAAGCTCCCTAGCAAGAGGGCTCCTTTCCCACCTCCCTCGGGATGAGTGGTTACCTGTCTATTAAAAACACTAGCAGCAATTCAGGTGTGATGCTGTCATTTTTTATCATGGCCCTGAACTCCCAGAATTGTTGTTGCCATCGAGGGGCAGAGGTAAACCCTAGGTTTGAGATTCCAGATCGTCTTTGAAAGGATGCAACCAATACTTTTGTTTCCACCACGAGACGCTTATTTCCCTTTCATCTGCAGCTTTCCTTCCTCTTCTCTTCCTCCTCCGTGGAGAATCGTACCAATTAATCACTGGAGGCAGACAACCACTAGAGCTCACGATCCCTGCCTCTCCCTTCATGATGTGAATGAGGAGAGCTCCTGGAGCTGGGAACGGCACCATGGAAACGAGCTCTGGGGCAGAGGCGGCAGTCTGGACACCGTCCCAGCCTCCCCAACCCGTCTCACTGGCACCTGACACCCAGAGGGCCTGCCGGGGTGGCGTCAGATGATGTGTTGAGTCAACAGAACCCCAGGAGAGCCCTGGTTGGAGTCCCATGGCAGCCGGCTGCAGCCAGCACCCCAGGAAGGGAGTGTCTGCCACCGGCTGCAGCCGCCACCTGGCCTCCTGGGAGACCTGGCGGGAAGGGGAAAGCCGGGCAGGAACCACACTCACAGACGGTCTCCCCATCCCCGCCTCTGCCGCCTTCTCCTGCTTCGCTGTACGTGGCTCTCCAAAGTGGAGGTTTGGGAATGTGCTTCTGTGGCCCATACCCCACGTGGCCCACACCCCATCGTGCCAGGTAGAACAATGCATTCTTGTCTCCCCTGAGAGCTGTACACCTGGAAATGGCTTGGGATACACTTCCAGGAGGGGATGGTGACTGAAAGCCCTCCCTGCATCACCCACAGCCCTTCCCACCTGTGCCTCATCCAGAGCCGTGAGCCTGGATGATCAGAGGGAGCCCTCCAGAGTGAGGATAAACAGCTCAGGAATGGGACCATTGTGGGAGGCCACTGGAGCCCCCCAGGAGGGGATCTGTTCATGAGCAGTGAGCTACCACCAAGGGTTCAGAGCAGACTCAAAGAGCTGAATTATAGAAAGCACAGGAAAAAACTCCAGGTACTATTACAGATTTTAAAAACGACTATGCTCTGGAAGCTTTAGTGTGACAGGGTCCCAGCGAGGCGTGATCTTGATTTGGTTATCACACTGATTTTCCACTTCATTTTCAGCCACATTTTCTCCTATTCAGGGCTCCTCAGAGACTTCTGAGTTTGGAGGTTCAGGGTGCAAAATGGGTATAGCTCCTCTCAGAAGATGGAACAGGGAGGCCGGCCACCCTGGAGGAGAGGGGAACCACGTGAACATTTTGAGACCCCTCGGAATACAGATTCCTAAAACCTGACTTTTGGGGAGTTAGAAGGGCCCCGAAGTGATTTGAGAGACAGAGAAATCTGTGTACCCATGCTTCATTCATCAGTTTCGTCAGATGATCCAAGTGTCCTGAGATTCAAGAAAGTTGAAGAACTACTTCTTCCCCAGTTTTTAGGAAGTTTCCTCAAGAGCTAGAATAATAAACAAATTGTCAACAACCAGGAATTTCAAGAGGGACTGGAAACACTCCGCGGCAAGCAGTGTCCGAATCCCGGGCACAGTGGGGGAGCCCGCCGCGGAGTTCCCTGGCCAGCACAGGGCAGGGACGTTGCAGACGGAAGCTCTGATGATGGAGGCCTCCCTGAAAGAGGCATGCTTCCAGGGCCTCGCAGCCACTGGACCCTCCCCACACCGCATCTCATCGGGGTAAATTCCAAGTTTACCCTCACATGAGATCTGCTGTTTTACATCATAGCGATAGCCGTGTATACCGGCTTTGCCAGACAATTGGCATGAACGATGCTGTGTTATAAACAGGCATCTCGAAGAGATCAAGGTTAGAATGACATTTCTGAAATCTCGAACTCTAGTCCTGACCTAAGAACATGTTCAGACATGCTCAGGCAGGATGGGCCACCTGGGGGGGCTCCTGCCCAGGAATATTCTGGCCCCATCCTGCCGCCAGGGCCAGGAAGCCTTTCCCCTGCTCACTGGGCACCCTGGCATCAGCTGAGAGTATGAAAGTCCCCCAGGTCTCCTATTGAATTGGTGTCCTTCCCTTATTTCCTTCTAGGAAATGACAGTAGTCACCATGCTGACTCAGCAAGGAGCCCGGGGGGGGGCCTCATTTCCTCCTCCTCCTCCTCCTCCTCCCTCCCCTTCCAAACCCAAAGTGCCAAGTCTTGGCCTTCCACTACCCGCTCCACCCTATACACCCTTGGCAGCTGGCCGAGGGAGCCCCGTTGGGGAGGAGGGTGGACACGGAGAGGCAGCCCAAGGCAGATACACCTCTGACCTGAGGCACCCACCTCGCCTGGTGCGACCGTGTGCTTTTTCCTGTCGCCCATACAAACGGTCTTCTCCCCAACATTCCACAGGGATGAGGTCACCGTCAGAAACCTCCTGGAATGGAGCAAGGCCCTGGGCTGCGGCCTGAAGACCTGAGTCATGGCTGTGGACCTGCTTCTGGGGTGGGGGGTAGATCCTCGGCCACACACTTCACCTCTCAGAGCCTGCACTTCCTCCACCGAAAATGAGGTTCTGAGATGTTTGTCCAAGGTCATGCCCATTCTTACCACCTATGATTCTCATGCTGGCCCATTCCAGACTATCACATTCGGCAGAGTTCATCTCCACAGCACCAAACAATGCCTGTTGCTTTTGTGATTCCACAAATACTGATAATTAGAGGGACTGAGGCTGCTAACATTTCCCTTTCATTGACAAATTATTAGCAAATTGTTTTTCCGAAACCATTGTATATGGGAAAAGTTCTGTGGCAGAATTTCTCTCTCTCACAAAGCAGCAGAGGGGCCTCCCCTGTGCCTCCCCAGGACTGCTTTCTAAGTGGCAACATCAAGATGCATATCTGCTGTTGTCTTTTGCCCAAGCGAAGTATCTAGGGTTACGTTTTGGGTCCATGATGTAGAACTCTGACCTCCAAGCAAGCGTGAAGAAGGAACAGGGCAGACAGCAGAGGCTGGGACCACATTGTCAGAGTTGGGACAGATTTAAAATTAGCCCCTGTGAGATTCTCCTTTCCTTCCCCTGCACCACCATTTCTGTTTTGTTTTGTTAGTTCCCATGTAAATACCCATATGCTAGAGCCAACTATTTCATAACTAGGTGCAGAATGTTATTGGGTATACAAAGCCCTATAAGACTGGATATTTTCCGGATTCCTTTTAGGAGAATAACCTTGGAAAAATTCCTGAAAGTTTTTTTTTTAAATAGAAATATTTTTTCACCTTCCATATTACCATGATGCTTTGACTTGAAGATCACTCAGATATTTTCCAACATATTTTGAACAGTTTCAATGACAAAAGATCATAAAACAGATTCTTAGAGCCTAGAACCGAAATCTGCAGCCTGAAACCTTACTCCAGATTGAAATATGAATTGAGAGTGAGCTCAGCTAGGGCCAGGGCCATTCAGCTATAAAGGGGCCAGAGTCCAGAAACTCCTGCTGAGAGAGGGGGTCCTGCAGGGGCAGGGCTGGAGTGGGGTGGGGAGGACACCAGGCGGGTGTGAAACTTGTCTTTTAGGAACATTCAGAGCAAGGTCTCAAAGCAGCTGGCTGGAAAGGAGCAGCAGAGCTCAGGAGAGCTGGCCTGGCCGGCAGCTGCATAAACGCCTGGTACCCGGGGACGAGGCATCATTCCAGGGCGTTTCTGCATGAGGCTGACCTTGGCTGCAGGGAGAGTCATTCCTATCAGAGTCCAAGCAGGTGGCTGGGAACTCAGAAGGAAGGGAATTTGCTCTTCCATAGAAGGGAGCTGTGAGACAGGATGGAGGCACTCGGACCACATGACCATAAAGAATGGGAACTAACAATTACTTTAGAAGTTTCCTATCTGTGAAATAGGGAGATTGGATTAAATGAATGGTTCCAAAACATGTCCAACCACCCGCGTCACCTGGGGAACGTCACACAGCTCACATCCCCAGGCTCCTCCTGGCCCCATCGGTCAGGATCTTCCGGTCCTATGGGCACATGTGTTCTCAATGCTCCCAGGTGACTTTTGGCCCAGCCAGGTTTGAGAACTGAAGCCTGAGAAGCATCCTAACTGTCTCTGTGGCTCAGATGCTCTACTCAGCATGTCGGGTTAGACTCAGTGGGGACAGGGACTGGGGACTGCCCAGACAAGGGTTTAGAGCAAAACCGTCTCACAGGGAAAGAGGGCACTAGCAGATACATAAACCTAGCATCTTCGATTAAGCCAGCTATTCAAGACATTTGCAAAAAGTAAAAATGCCACTTATTTTTTGTTTTGTTTTAAAAAATATAGATTGCTGAGAAGTTACTTTTAAAAAAATGAGGATCCCAAGGAGCTTTTATTTCTGTGGGTCATATGAATCAATATTCACCATATTAGAATTTTTTTTTTTTTTTTTAGAGACAGGGTCTTTCTGTCACCCAGATTGGAGTCCAGCGGCGCAGTTGTGGCTCATTGCAACCGCAACCTCTCAGGCTTAAGCAATCCTCCCTCCTCAGCCTCCTGAGTAGCTGGGGCCAAGGGCACAGGCCACCATGCCCAGCTAATTTTTTATTTTTTGTAGAAATGGGGGTCTCACTATGTTGCCCAGGCTGATCTTGAACTCCTGAGCTCCCAGCCCCTCCCTTCTCGGCCTCCCAAAGTGCTGGGATTATAGGCCTAAGCCACCGAACCTAGCCTATATTAGAAATTAAAACTGAGAAAATTTTAAACATTAATTCATTTATAAATGACAACCATAAACTCATTATATGTTAAACACCCTATTTTTCAAGAGTGTAAAGGGGTGCTGAAGCTGAAATATTTGTCTACCACAGCAGTTCTCAAAGAGAAGCTGAGCATGGGATAGGGGTGTTGGTGGGGTGGCCCTGAGGACAGGCTTCTTTCAGAGAAGTATTGGGCAGCTGGGGCTGTGGGAGGTAGAATAGTTCAGGTTGAATGGATCATTCTGGAATGCATCCACCAACACGGAGGGTGGAGAATGGTAGAATGGTCTTGAAGATGACCTCGCCACTCCCACCCTGGGCTGGGGGGAAAGAGAAGAAATGGCTGAAGGCTCAGGCAGGCCCGCTCTGTGTAGGGTATTCCTGCCTCTGTGCAAATGAAACAGCAGCCTGCAGTGGGTTATAGAGGAAGTGGACTCCTGGGCCTAAGTGGTACTGATACCTAAAGTCACCCTGGTCCAGGCGCTGTTCAATGAACTGACGTGTGGCACCTGGAGCTTGTCTTGGGGGTGACCAGCTTTTTCCAATTTCTTACGTCTCCA
The DNA here is from genome assembly GCF_000001405.40 of Homo sapiens. NCBI lineage: Eukaryota > Metazoa > Chordata > Mammalia > Primates > Hominidae > Homo > Homo sapiens. Next base: position 151,684,900 of record NC_000007.14, on the reverse strand, counting down.
GGTGATGAGAAACCAGGGACTGGCCTCCACGCCCTCAGGAACAGCTTCCAGAGTGCATTGTGGCTGACTGTGGCTGGGGGCACTGGGATGGCTATGGCCAGGACTGCCTGGAGGAGACCCCAACTTGTCAGAGAGGGCTCAGCTGGGATTTCTCACCTCCACACTGAGCCTGTGTGGAGGGGCCGCAGGGTGGAGTCAGCCAGGGGTGAGCTGCAGCTTGAACTTCAGGTGTGTCACACTCCTGTCCCCCAGGCAAGGCAGAAGCTAGAGCTGGCTCTGAGCTTCCGACCAGCAGGGTCTTCTCCCGGAGACGTCACCTGCTATCAATGGCAGCTGCCCATACTGAATACGGGCCTTATCATTCAGTGTCCTAGGGTGCTTTGCTTCTTACCTCTTACTCATCACACAAAGCCCACGGGCAGCTCAGATGTTCAAAGAATGAAGCAAGCCTCTGAGCTGACTCCTCTGAGGCCACATAGCTGGCGAGTGGTGACTTAGGGTCCAGCCCAGGTTTCTGGCCCCAGAGCTCAGCTGCTTCCACGGTGCTGGCCAGTCCTTATCCTGGTTTGGGAGTGGAGGCTGGAAACTGTATCGTTGGGGGCAGGAAACAAGGACATTCAGCTGGGGTTCTGAAGGGGCTTTTCCCAGGGGTGTGGGCAGGGTTTCAGGAGTCATTACCGCCCAGGCCTGGAGCGACGAGGGGAAGAGGAGTTGCTGGAGGCATGGCAGGCAGGGTCCCTGAGGATACTGCCCCTCTATTCCCTGGCTCCCCCAGCCTCCTGCAGTTGCCTGCACTGCCCAGAGCCATTCTGGAGTCAGAGGGCTGGGCACTCAGCTCCAGCGGCCCTGGAGGGTAGGGCTCTGGAATGAGGGGTGGAAGGTAAAACCTGCGGGCAATAGGGGCCGTGCGGGGAGAGGGTGTAGGAGCCAGGCCAGAGGGCACCTGAGAAAGGGCCAAAACATTGAAGCAGTGGGTTTGCTCCTTGAGAAAACAGAGTCCTAAGCAGACATCAGAGGCTGGGTTCTGGGTCACCTGCCTGGCCTGAACTTGTGTCACACAGGGTCTCGCGCCGCCCAGGGTCTCCGCCTGCCTGCTGGTTGCATCCCTCTGTGTGCTACAGCTACTCAGCACAGGTACTCCTGTCCCTCTCTGGCTGTGGCACTTTCGTTGGGCACCTCCCTGGGCCACCGTTCCCCCTCACGGCGCTCGCCATCCTCCCTCCAAAGTAGGGAACAACACCTGGCCCCTCACTCTGATGAGTGGTAGGAGGTTTCAAAACCCTGTATAAGCAAAGCCTCCCTCCAGTGTCAATGGAAATGTTGCTCTTCTCACTTCATGGCTCTTGTAACAACAGTCAGCAGAATACATTACTTCCTTCTTGTCGTTCCGTTCCTCAGGCAGGAATGAGGCTCTAGCTCATTCCATTTACGCAGTGGAGGGGCCGGATTGCACCAGATAGGCATCTGGTCTACCTGGTTTATTTTTACCAAGGCAAGGGGTGGATTTGTCCCAGAGCCCATGGCAACTTAGTGGTAAAACCAGACCTAGAGCTTGGGGCTTCTGAGGGCCAGGCCTCTGTTTCCACCCAGCACAGCTATTCCGTTCCAGCAGGGCTCAGTTCCCTTTGGTGGCACCTCTGTTCTCCTCCTCCTCCTCTCCAGCGCCTGCCAGCAGGGCCAGGCCCTGTGAAGTCACCAGCCCATGGCTCCCCAGTGTCTGGACCCCCTTTCGTGGTGTTCTGTGTGGCTGCCAGGAGCAGTTTCTGTTCCCTCGCTGGGCTGTTCACTGGGCCTGGCTGCCGCCCTGGGAGAATCAAAGGCATTGTTCACTGCAGAGGCTGGCGGCGTCCTAAACAAAGTCCTTAAGGAGCAGGAAAAAGGAGGAGATGTCTTCTCAGAAGGAACAGAAAGGGGGCACCTGTCTGTCCTTTGGCCAGAGCCTTCTTGGGTGACTTTGGCCATGGCCCAGTTCTGCCTGGGCCCTTAGGAGAGGCCCCTGGGCCGGGGCAGACCTGTGTCCTCCTCCAGGATCGGGGCCCAGCTCTTTCCTGGGGTTTCTGAGCCACCGTCCCACCCCCACCCTCAGGCCCTCTCCTCTTCCCTGAGCTCCCCCCTGCTTTCCTGGTTCTCGACTTTATTGCATGGTGGTGTTGGGGCTGATTTTTTGGTTTTGTCCCCATTTCTCCTACAGACTACAGGGACTTGCTCTAATCCATCTTAGCACCTCCTTCCTCAACACCCCCAGCATACTTGGCCCGTGGAAGCTGTCCAGGAACTATTCATTTACTGATCAGACCCAAGGTTGAGTTCAGCAGTTGACCTTATGATTAAGAAATACATTGGTCTATTTAAAAGTAATGGGGGGCCAGGCATGGCGGTTCACACCTATATTCCCAGCACTTTGGGAGGCTGAGGCAGGAGGTGACTTGATACCAGGAGTTCAAGACCAGCCTGGGCAACATAGTAAGATGCCATCTCTACAAAAATAAAAAAATTAGCTGGTGTAATGGTATTTGCCTGGAGTTCCGGCTACTCAGGAGACTGAGGTGGGAGGATCACTTGAGCCCAGGAGTTTGAGGCTGCAGTGAGCCGTGATCATACCATTGTACCCCAGCCTGGGCCACAGAGTGAGACCTTGTCTCAAAAAAAGTAATGAGGGATTGTGTCAGCATTGCCCATTTTCCCTTTTATTTATGAATAGTGATACCAACATTGAAAAGAAAAAAAGCTTAGGAATCATTCTTACTACCCACCTTACCTGACTCATAAGACAGTTGTTTCTCTACTGATTGAATAGCATAAACCTGAGTAGAAGTCACTTCTTTGTTGGTCTACCCTTCCTGGCTGGCATGGAAGAAAACCCTCTTTGGGGGAAGCCTGTCCCTCCCTACATGGGGCTGTCCCACCTTAGGAAGCACATGGGGTCCCAAGCTCACTCCGTCTCTGTGCCCTTCTCTCTTCTGTGGCACCTCTTCTTTCCCTCTGCAGTCACCCAGTGTCATCCAAGCTCTCCTTCCTGTTGGCCCCGTGAAGCCCCACTTCTGGGAGAGTAATTCATACAGCTAAAATGTAATTTTAAGTCTTCATGTTCTTTCTCTCGGTGATACCCCAGTTTGATTGTGGCAGAAAGTGTCTGGGTTATAGAGTCAGGACAGTGGAGCTGAGGTGTGGTCCCTGCCATTTATTCGCTAAAGGACCATGGATAAGTAGCTGAACTTTCTCCAGCTACCAGTTTCTTCATCTGTGAGGGGCAGAGGGGGCCAGAGTGTGTAAGCCCTCTGTAAACAGGGTGGCATCGTGCAAAAAACAAAAAAAAAGTGTTGATGCTGCAAGACTCTACCCCCTCTTAAAAACATTTCGGGTATCAGTCAACAGATAGGGCATATGTTAGGTTCCAGGAGGGTTCACTCCCCATGCCCCTAACTACACACATATCCCTAATGCACACACTGTGAGTCTCAGCATTTCACCTGTCCCTTCCTCTAAAAGTTTCCCTTCCCCCTCTGTAGTCCAGAGTGCCACCTGTTTTCCCCACAGGAGTCACCAGCTCTGGAAGGAACAGGAAGGCCAGGTGGAAAGATGGGAGCAGCTTCTGAACTTGGAAAGATGGCAATGATAGAGAATCATTCAGCCCCACCAGAAATGAGGTGTTCCCACCCCCAAATGAACAGTCCACCTTCTCATCTCCTCGGCCCCAGAGGTTCACTCCTGCATCCCGCCACCTCTCTCACCTCCTTTGGGACTGGGTTAGGATCATTCCAGTACTCACACGGGGGTGGCCTGCAAGGGGACAGGGCCATGGGAGGAGCGGACACCGTGGTTTGTGCTCTTAAGAGCTCTCGGCAGGGGGTGGGGAGGGGCTTGGTCACAGTTGCATTCTCTTTAAACTGTTTACTTGAAAGATGAACGTTCTGTACCCAAAGAACTAGCAAGGAGTTTTCATGGGCTGTGAACATCCCTTGCACAACAGTGACTAAGCTTCATCCCTGAAGAATGTTGGAAGTGGAAAAACTTCTCGAAGAGAAAGAGCAAGGGAGAGGACAGCTCAGGAAGGCACAGCCATGGCCCTGATTCTAGTGGGAGACAGGACAGAGGTCCTGGTCCTGGTCCTCGTGGGAGACACCCCTGCACAGAGCTGGGGGGCGCGTCGGGGCAGGCAGGGCAGGAAGCAGGTCAGTGCTTAAATATGGCCTTCGCCAGCCTCTTGGCTCAAAAGCAAAGCAGTGGCTGAAAAGAAGTAATTTTCTGAATGGATAATCCATTCTCATGATAGAAAGTTTGAAAAATCAAAAAGGGGATATGATGAAAGTCCTCCCTGCCAGTTGTTCCCTTCCCTGGAGACAGCCAGTGTTTCCAGATCCTGCCAGAGATAGTCTAGGCAAAATCAGACAGGCAGAATATAGATACTTTCTTTCCTTTTTTCAAAACTACAAATGGTATCATTCGATACAGATGGCTCTGCAGTTGGCTTTCTTCACTTACCGCTCCATCTTGGAGATGAAAGGAACGAGGATCCCTGTCATGTTCCGACAGGAATGGTGGCTGCCTGTGCCTGCAGATGGGCCATGATTTATCTAACCTCTTCTTGACGAGCCTCTGCGTCTCCAGGCTCTGCTTTTAAAAGCACCATGGTAATGAATAAGCCGACACTTAGTACAGTCGACACTTAGCAATTACACAAATAAGTCTATGGCCCCAGAAATGGAATTACTGGGTCCAGGAACATGCGCGTTTGTGGTTTTGATCAGTGGTGCCTAGATAGGCACCACAGAGTACCTGTTTCCTCTGGGCCTTTGCCCAATGCCTGCATGGGTGCAGTTTGGGCTCATTTTGTTGTGTTGTGTTTTGTGAGATAGGATCTTGCTGTGTCACCCAGGCTGGAGTGCAGTGGTGCAGTCCTAGCTCACTGCAGCCTTGAACTCCTGGGCTCAAGCAATCTCGCCATGTAGCTGAGACTACAGGCATATGTCACCATATCTGGCCAATTTTTTTTTTTTTAATAGAGACAGGGTCTTGCCATGTTGCCCTAGGTGGTCTCAAACTCCTGGGCTCAAGTGATCCTTCTCCCTCAGCCTCCCAAAGTGCCGGGGCTACAGGCATGAGCCACCGCACCTGGCCAGGGCTAGTTTTGATCATGCCCTGCTCAGGGATGGACATAGCTACTTTTCAGCATTGTCCATGGAGGAGGCTTTAGAGATCTCTGTGGCTGGCCCCTTCCTTTACACACGAAGACCCCAGCCCCCCAGAGGGGTTTCTCTGCAGGGCTGTCACAGGTCATGAGGATGTGGGGGGTGGCACAGGTTTTTGAACCTAAAACGCCCCCCACCACATCCTATTCAGCTCTGCCCCATCAGGTCCCTGCACATGCCTACAGGAAGCAGGGGCACAGCCCCCGGGAAGTGCCACTGAAGGGGCCCTGTGTCCAGTGGGGAAAGGGGCTGGGAGAGGAGGATGAGAACATTCCCTCTTGACTCTCAGGAGAGGAGATAGCCTGTCCTAGGTGCATTGTGGGACCAGGACGAGCCCCTGCTGGAGACTTTGTTGCTGCAGGAACCACTGAAGGATATGACTCTGGGGTCTAAGGCCCCAGGCAGTGCCCCACACTACACACAAAATAGCACACAGGCTTCTTTGCTCTGCCCCTGCAGATCCCCCTGAGAGGCCCCGGGCAGGCCTCCCCGAGCCCTGGCTACTGTCTCTATTTCTCAGTGCCAAGCAGCTGGAGCCTGGCCCTGAGAAGGGTCCGGATGGGCCGGCAGCCCTTTTGTGGTCCTGCCTGCTGACACACCCCCATCTCTGAAGAGCTGCTAAACCACATCAGGACCTTCCCACTCTTCCTCTTCCCTCTCCTTCCTCCCCACCCCACCTCAAAGCAGGGTTTTCTTCTCAAGACCTTTGGGGGAAAATATTCTACTTTTCTTTTTTTTCTTTTTTTTTGAGACAGAGTCTCACTCTGTCACCCAGGCTGGAATGGAATGCAGTGGCACAATCTCAGCTCACTGCAACCTCCGCCTCTTGGGTTCAAGCGATTCTCCTGCCTCAGCCTCTGGAGTGGCTGGGACTACAGGCGCGCGCCACTACGCCTAGCTAATATTTGTATTTTTAGTAGAGATGGGGTTTTGCCATGTTGGCCAGTCTGGTCTTGAACTCCTAACCTCAGGTGGTCCACCCACTTCAGCCTCCTGAAATGCTGAGATTATAGGCATGAGCCACTGCACCTGGCCTCTATTTTTCAAGAGTTTGGGACTTTGTTGTGAGGGCCTTTTACATTTTAAGTTTCGGGTCCTAACCCTCTCCTCCTGCTTCCACCCAGAGCTGCCTCCCAAGTGCCAGCCCGGGGCTTCCAGAGGGCTTTCCACTCACACTGCTCAGTCTCCTGAAGGGACTCCCTGGAAAAGGGGGCTCCTTCTCTAATAGGTGACTTCCTAAACCTCCCCCGGACACACAAAACAAAACATGCGCCCCACTCTCCACAGAGAGGAACAGATTCACCCTGACCTTGAGCCGGTCCTCTCACTGTTCTTTCTGTTCCTTGCCTGGTGGCAGCAGGCATTTGCCAGACCCCTTGGCTCAGGACAGCACTGGGTGCCCTGGGGCCCAGAGGGAGTGGCAGGACCCCCGTCCCCAAGACAGACGGTAGATCTTGGTGGGGAGAGGGGACTTACATACTTTTATGTTTGGTTTGAACGTTAAACAGTTTGTCATTAAGTGGTAACATACAGGACAGTGAAAAGGCTTTATGAGTTTGGTGACACGAGGGACAGGAGGACAGGTCCTTCCCCATGAGGATGGAGCAGGAGGGACACGGGTGGTTCTGGGAGCTGCGAGGAGGAGGAACCCAGCAGAGATGCCTGGGGAGAGTGAACCAGGCCTGTGGCTCTGTAGGTGACGCAGCCTTGTCCAGACCAGAAACAGTGACTGGTGGCTCTAGGACCTGATAAAAGGAAAACGTCTGCCGAATTATGTTTAAAGGAGTTTGACTGAGCAATGAACGATTCGCAAATCGAGCAGCCTTCTGAGCCAGAGTAGACTCCGAGAGCCCAGCTCTCAGCCATGTGGTGGAAGAAGATTGATGGACAGAAAAAGGAAAGTGACCACAGAAAGCGGAAGTAAGGCACAGAAACACCTGGATTGGTTACAGCTCAGCATTTGTCTTACTTGAACACGGTTGGAACAGTTGGCTACATGTGATTGCCAAAACTCTGGCTGGCACGAATGTAGGCTATGGTCTGTTACAGTTCACAATGTACAGAAAACCCTTTAGGCCAAACTTAAAATATTTAAGGAGGCAGCTCTAGGCTACATGTAATTTAACAGGGCATGTTCACTGACATCTTTGGTTTGACTTGCATAATTCAAATTTTATTTTAAAATTTTATTTTTCTACCTGTAAGATGTAAGATATCAGAGGGTGAGTGTGATGGCTCATGCCTGCAATCCCAGCACTTTGGGAGGCCGGGGCAGGCAGATCACTTGAGGTCAGGAGTTCGAAAGCAGCTTGCCCAACATGGTGAAACCCCATGTCTACTAAAAATATTTTTAAAAGATTAGCCAGGCCTGGTGGCAGGTGCCTGTAATCCCAGCTACTCAGGATGCTAAGGCAGGAGAATCGCTTGAACCCGGGAGGCAGAGGTTGCAGTGAGCTGAGATCACACCACAGCACTGCAGCCTGGGCGACAAGAGTGAAAACTCTGTCTCAAAAAAAAAAGAAAAAGAGATTTGAGATATCAGACCCAAAGCCAGATTCTGCTTCTCTTAGAACACAATCCATGCATTGCATCAGTCTCCTCAGGCTGTTATAACAAAGTGCCACCGACTGAGTGGCTTAAAACAACTAAAATTTAGCCCTGTCCTGAAGGCCAGAAGTTCAAAATCGAGGTGTTGGCAGCGCCACGCTCTCTCTGAAACCTGTAGGGGAGGATTCCTCTTTGCCTCGCCCTGGCTTCTGGGTTTGCCAGCAATCCCCATCGCGCCTTGGCTGCAGCTGCATTGCTCCGATCGCTGCCTCTGCCAGCACGAGGCCTTCCCTCTGGGTATCCGTTTCTGTGTCTCTTTTCCTCTTCTTATAAGGACACCAGTCACATTGCATTAGGGCCCACCCTAGTCCAGCAAAATCTCATCTAGACTTGGTTGATCTGAAAAGACCCTGTTTCCAAATAAGGTCACATTCACAGGTCACATCCTACCTGTGCACTGTGCCATGATTTATTTAACCTCTTCTTGACGAGCCTCTGCATCTCCAGCTCTGCTTTCAAAAGCACCATGGTAATGAATTAGGTGTACACTCGCCACTTAAAAATTACATAAATAAGTCTATGGAAGAAATAGAGTTGTTTCTGTTAGTTAGAAATAAGTCAAAGTGGAGAACCTTTAACTCCCAGAAGATTCATGTCTCCAGTCTTCCTACAATCCTCCACTAACACCGTTGCCCCTCCCATTATTTGCCCCCTCCCTTTTCCTGACCATCTAAATCTGTTTCACTTTTTAGACCCCATTCCAGTCCCACCCTTTCCCTGAAGTCTCCTTGGGTATTTATCTTCGCAGTGAAGTCTTGCTACTGGGAACTTACAGTGGTGATGTTCATGTTGCACGTTTTGGTAGGAATAACACATCCATCCCCTCCCCTCCCCTCCCCTCCCGTCCCCTCCCCCTCCCCCTCCTCAGATACATGGTCCCATGGCTTCTGCAGCATTGGCCTGCATCTCTGCTGCACATTTTCCGAACTTCCCCATGTTTTACCTCAATAAATAAGGCACCACTGCGTTTGCTCTTGGCGCCATGCTGGGGAAAGAAGGAGAGGAGATCAAATGATATTTGGCTGAATGGAGGAAAATAGCCTCTGGAGGGTGTGTGTAAAAGTTCACCAGATAACTCGGGACCGTGTGAGCACCCCGTTCCCAATGAGGGGATGCTGCCCACAACCGAGCGTGGATAGTGAGGCGTTTCTGGAAACAGCTGATTCTAAGAGACTAGAAATTGGTTTTTAAAGCTTTTCCTCAACATTCAGAATAATTTGGCTTCTTGCCATTTGAGGTTTTGGGCACCAGGAATGGTGAGAGCCTCCCTCTGCCATGGCGGGACCTCTGACCACCTCCAATGTCCCTTCCTGGAGGCCGGACCTCTGACTGCCCCCGACGTCCCTTCCTGGAGGCCGGACCTCTGACCTCTCCCCATCTCCCTTCCTGGAGACCAGACCTCTGACCACCCCCGACGTCCCTTCCTGGAAGCCGGACCTCTGACCGTCCTTGGTGTTTCTTCTGCAGCCTCCGGCCTCTCCTCCTCTCCGTCAACACCCACCCAAGTGACCAAGCAGCACACGTTTCCCCTGGAATCCTATAAGCACGAGCCTGAACGGTTAGAGAATCGCATCTATGCCTCGTCTTCCCCCCCGGACACAGGGCAGAGGTTCTGCCCGTCTTCCTTCCAGAGCCCGACCAGGCCTCCACTGGCATCACCGACACACTATGCTCCCTCCAAAGCCGTAAGTCTGGGCCCTTCTGTGGGTGGGGCTGCCGGGTGGCAGAGGGAGGGCAGAGCAGTTATTGCCCCAAGCTGAGCAGTCTATCTGCAGCCGAGGCTGAGGTCGTGTGCTCCCGACATCTTCAGGATATTGTACCATAAATCACAGGCTGAGGGAGAAATGGTGAGGGCACAATAGCAAATGGAAATACACAAAAAATAGCTGGGTGCGGTGGCTCACACCTGTAGTCCCAGCACTTTGGGAGGCCAAGATAGGCAGATCACTTGAGGCCAGGAGTTCGAGACCAGCCTGGCCAACATGGCAAAACCCTGTCTCTACCAAAACTGCAAAAATTAGCTGGGTGTGGTGGCGTGCACCTGTATCCCAACTACTCGGGAGGCTGAGGCATAAGAATTGCTTAAACCTAGATGGCAGACACTGCAGTGAGCTGAGATCATGACACCGCACTCCAGCCCCTATGTAACAGAGCAGACTCTGTCTGAAAAAAAAAAGAAAAAAAGAAACAAAATGAAAAATGGTAACATCTGGGACATGACCAGGAGGAGGTTTTTTTCCCCTCAGCTTCTTAAAAATCATTCATTGAAAGCTTTATTTGAATTTACCTTGCTTGGGATACTACAGTATTCATAAAATGTCATAGGTAAAGCAAAAAAAAAAAGTAAAACAGAAGTGTTATTCTAGAGGTTTAAGATTTTGAGTCTGATGACATCATCAGACTTAGGATGCCCTCTTTGGAAGGGGAGCATTTCATAGAGGAGTGGGATGGAGCGACAGACGTGTGCAGCCTCCAGCACTTCCTGAGACCGAGGCAGCGAATCTCCGTGGCTTCACTAAGCACTTAAGCACTCTCTGTTTCAACACAGTGGGCCCTACTGAGACCCCAGCTGTCACTGCTGGTTTAATTACCGCAGGTACCCAGTATTATTCCCGTGCCCAGCGACACTGTGAGAGCCACATCCCTGGGTCTACCTGTATGGCTGGAACCACTCCATTCAGTTGTCACATTAGTGTCGCATGTCACTGGGGCATGACATAGTGCCACACACTGGATGGCTTAAAACAATAGAAATGTACTGTCTCACTGTTCTGGAGGCCAAAAGTCCAAAGTCAAGGTGTTGGCAGGGCTACACTCTCTTCAAAGCCTCTAGGGAGAGTTCTTCCTTGCCTTCTCCAGCTTCAGCTTGTGACAGTGTTACTCCAGTCTCTGTCCCGTTCTCACATAGCCATCTTCCCTTTGTCTTTCTTTGCATCCCAATTTCCTTCTTATAAGAATACAAGGCCAGGTGCGGTGGCTCATGCCTGTAAACCCAGCACTTTGGAAGGCCAAGGTGGGTGGATCACTTGAGGCCAGGAGTTCCAGACCAGCCTGGCCAGCATGGTGAAACCCTGTCTTTACTAAAAATACAAAAAATTATCTTGGCGTGGTGGTGGGCACCTGTAATCCCAACTAGTCAGGAGACTGAGGCATGAGAACCGTGGGAACCCAGAGGCAGAGGTTGCAGTGAGCCGAGATTGCACCACTGCACTCCGGCCTGGGTGACAGAGCGAGACACTGTCTCAAAAAAAAAAAAAAAAAAAAAAGAACACAAGCTACATTGGATGAGGGCCCACCCCTATCATCTTAACCTGATTATATCTACAAAGACCCTATTTCCAAAAGTCACATTCACAGGTACTGGGACTTAGAACTTCAACATCTCTTTTTAGGAGATACGGTCCAATCTGTAACAGTTGTTATCTTTTAGGAGAAGATGCGTTGCCATGCTGAGAACATACTATTCCTATTCTTGTTCATTCAGTTATTTTATTAAACACAGGTGTAGCAAAGTATTATTTCAGGTGCCAAAGGTTAAACTGCAAGTTATTGTTCCTGCCTTCTAGAGCTTACAATCTGATTGGGAACTGAACAGTACTGGGGCAAAACAGCTCAGTAAAGGGGGAGAGCGGTTTCGCCGGGATAATGAGTGGCACAGTCGGCCCTACAGGAGGGAGAAACGGAAAACCGCTGGTCTGATAAGGGCAATGACAGCTTCAAGGCACGTCACCTGCTGGGCTGAGCCTGGAGTACTGTCAGTGTTTACATTAAGGGAGAGGGAAGGGAGAACCTTCTAGAAAAGAAAATTAGGCTTTGACTAGGGATCATGGATTAGAATAACCCCATTTAAGAAGAGACAGTGGTTTGACGAGAAAACCACGATTTATTTGAGATCATTTGAAGGGATAGTGACAGACACAGACGCAGGGCTCTTCCACGAGTCCCTGATGTTTGACGGCAGCAGCTTTGTGCTGGGGACAAGCCCAGAGCCTTCCCAGTTGAAAGAAAAGAGAATACAGGGAGTGCTCTGGGTTTGCTGTCAGCTTCCTCCCCGCGAGTGTAACAGGAAAGTGGTGTTCTTATCTCCTTATAACCCAACTGTTTATACCCCACACAACCACGCAGCCCTTGGTCAAGGCCAACAAGTATAGGTCCTTCCAGGCTTGCCACGGTGATCAGAGAGGGAGTGTCCTGGGGTCAGAGAGAGAGTGAGTATGCTCAGCTGTGTCCCATACTCAGCAGCTGACCCAGAGCACGTGCCCTGTGCCCAGCACGCGGCTGGCAGCAGGAGTGTGCAGTCGAGTGGGATTTCAACAACAATCCAAATGTCGTGAATGGATAAACAAATGTGGTGTATACAGATGATGGAATAGTACCCAGCCTTAAAAAGAGAGGAAGTTCCGACGCAGGGAGTGACACGGAGGGGCCCTGAGGACCTTGTGCTGAGTGAAATAAGCCAGTCACAAAAGGACGCATACTGCATAATGCCACTTATAGGAGTCCCTAGAGTCATCCAAATAGAGACGGAATGTAGAATGGTGGGTACCGGGGGCTGGGGGGAGGGGAAAAGATGAGTTAGTGTTTGACGGAGACAGAGTTTCAGTTTGGAAAAGTGAAAGAGTTGGGGCAATGAATGGTGGTGATGGCTGAACAACAGTATGAATGTACTTGCTGCAACTGAACTGTACACTTGAAAATCGTTCGAATGGTGGCTGGGCGCAGTGGCTCACGCCTGTAATCCCAGCACTTTGGGAGGCCGAAGTGGGTGGATCACGAGAGATCGAGACCATCCTGGCTAATACGGTGAAGCCCCGTCTCTCCTAAAAATACAAAAAATTACCCGGGCGTGATGGCAGACACCTGTAATCCCAGCTACTTGGGAGGCTGAGGCAGGGGAATCGCTTGAACGCAGGAGGCAGAGCTTGCAGTGAGCCGAGATGGCGCCACTGCACTCCAGCCTGGGCGACAGAGCGAGACTCCTTCTCAAAAAAAAATAGTTCAAATGGTGGCCGGGAGAGGTGGCTCACGCCTGTAATCCCAGGGCAACAAGAGTGAAACTCCATCTCAAAAAAAAAAAAAAAAGTTCAAATGGTAACTTTTATGTATATTTATCACCATAAACCAAAAAGAGGAATGATCTGGTCAAGACTCCAATTTTTATGTCATTTGAGCTTCTGAAAATCAGGCTGATGGCCCAAGGCTCCCCACTTACATTTTGAAAGGGTGTATTTCAAGGAATGGAAGAGAATGTCCCCATTGGTTACCTGATGGTAAGCAAGCCCCTCACCCCACTTGTAAGTTTCAGCCCTCAGGCCAGCAAGGGCTGCCTTCACCTGCGTCATTCACAGCCTCTGTGGCCAAGGTTTGGCTCAAGCCCTTTCTGCTTTCAGCATCCTGGCAGCAGGTTAACCTGATTACTCAGCAAAGACTCTGCTTCCAAATAAGGTTGCAGTCACAGGTACCAGGGCTTAGAACCTCAACCTCTTTTCAGAGGACGCTATTCAACCCAAAACAGTTGTTATCTTTTGGGAGAAGATATGTTTGGCATGCAGAGAACATATCATTACATTCTGGCAGCAGGGTGGGTGGTAGTTTCAAGTTCGTAGAAATTTGCTCCTTTATAATTGGATTTTATTGAGTATCTTTATGTGCTAAGTTCCTTATGTGCTTGGCTGATTCTGTTAATTTGGCTACCAGGATAATCTCTGTGGAGGAATGTGAGTTACTTAAAGACTTTTGATGGTCTGAAAATATTTGGATGTAATTTATCTCTGCCTTTTGTAATAAAAAGATACTTTCTGTAAACATCGACCATGAAGATCATTTTTATAAAATCTGTTCCCATGAATTTTATTCTAAAATAGGGAATGGAATGGAGAAAATTAGTCTTTAGAAGACAGCACTCCTTTTTTTTTTTTTTTTTTTTTTTTTTTGAGACAGTCTAGCTCTGTCACCCAGGCTGGAGTGCCTTGCCGCGATCTCAGCTCACTGCAACCTCTGCCTTCTGGGTTCAAGCAATTCTCCTGCCTCGGCCTCTCAAGTAGCTGGGGCTACAGGCATGCACCACCACACCCAGCTAATTTTTATATTTTTAGTAGAGACGGGGTTTTGCCATGTTGGCCAGGCTGGTCTTGAACTCTTGACCTCAGGTGAATCCGCCCACCTTGGCCTCCCAAAGTGCTGGGATTATAGGCGTGAGCCAACCACGCGCGGCCAACAGCACTCATTTTATCATGTATTTATTCAGCAAATACCTATTAAGCAACTTATGTGCCTAAAACTGCTAGCATGGGTAATAGGATGACAAATATGTGAGCCCTGCTAATGGGAAAAGGCCAATGTTTGTTTTATTTACCATTTGATTAACAGCTCCGTGCATTATGCATAGGAAGGTGTCAGTGAATATCTACTAATTGAACAAAGGAAGGAGCTTTTGTTTCTTTGGGAAGAACAGACAGGTAATTCATTACAATGGAGTGTGATAGAACCCGTTCCGTTATTGTGGGAGGAAACCCCATCCTATCTTGATGAGTGGAAGAGCTGATCCCAGAGGAAGTCGAAATTCTTTTCAACAGGGAAAAGCAATAATCAGCTGTGCATTTTAGGGTGATCCCCTAACTGGTTATGGAAATTAGATTGGAGGTGGTTAGAACAGGAGCCCAGACGAGATGCAGTGTGAAGTAATCTAGGCCCAGGTTGCAGCTGAAGGTAGAAAGAAATGGAATCGTGTTTAAAAGTAGAGGGCAATTTTGAAGGTAAAATTGAAAGGAATTTGGAAGGTAGTGGTTGATTAATTGAAGGGGAAGGAGACAAATCAGGGGTGATTCCAAAGGTTTTGCCATGGAAAAGTGGATGGATGATAGTTCCAGCTCTGGGGGTATGGAGCAGAGGAGGAAGAGGGCAGGGTGTATATGTGAGTGCATGTGTGTGGGTGTATGTGGGCATGCATGCAGGTGTGTGCACAGGTGTGTGTGCATGCAAGTGTGTGTGCATGCAGGTGTATGTGCATGCAGGTATGTGTGCATGCAGGTGAGTGTGCATGCGGGTATGTGCACAGGTGTGTGTGCATGCAGGTGTGTGTGCATGCAGGTGTGTGCACAGGTGTGTATGCATGCAAGTGTGTGTGCACAGGTGTGTGCAGGTGTGTGACAAGTTGTACATGCAAGTGTGTGCACAGGTGTGTGTGCATGCAGGTATGTGCATGCAGGTGTGTGTGCATGCAACTGTGTGTGCAAGTATGTATGCATGCAGGTGTGTGCACAGGTGTGTGCCTGCAGGTGCACAGGTGTGTGTGTGTGCAAGTGTGTGCACAGGTGTGTGCGTGCAAGTGTGTGCACAGGTGTGTGTGCATGCAGGTGTGTGCACAGGTGTGTGTGTAGGTGGTGGTAGTCCAATAAGGCGCCTGTGGCACATTTAAGTCGAGGTGCCCAAAGGGCAAGTGGATATTGAGTCTGGAGCTGGAACTTCAATTTGAAAATCATTCAGATATAAGTGGCAATTGGTGCTATAATAGTAGGTGAAATAATTCATAGAAATGTATGGCAGGTGAAAAGAGAACCAGAAAACACGTGGACATCTAAGGGACAATCGAAAAAAACGGATTCTGAATTCCCTGGAAATGAGGCAGAAATCCAAGTGAACACAGCATCACAGGAGCAAAGGGAATGTGTGTAATCGTGTTTCACATACTAAGAGTGTTGAGTGACATCAAATGCAGCCAACTAGTTGTGTAACATAAGGTCGTTGTGACTTCGGCAAGGATACTTTTAGTGGCAGGGTCGACAGCAGAAGCCATGTAATGTGAGTTGATGATTAAGGGATAAAGAAGTGGTGATCTCTAGTGTAGATAGCTCAAGTATCCTGATGTGAGAGAGAGGACAGGGGCTGTAGCTAGAAGAATGGAGGTGATGGCATCTTCCTACAAAGAGGAATAGACTCAAACCCTACTGGGGAAAGAGTGAGTGCAGGGAGAAATTAAAGATTGGAGAGAAAAGAAAGTGTCATTCCCGTCTTACAAAGGAAAGGAGTGCGTTTCCTTATAGGCAGTGGGAGCACATCAAGCACTTGCGATGGAGACGTTTGTCTTGGACCAATGGGAGGAGAGTCATCTTCTATTGGTTTGAAAACTTCTACTGCAAAGGTGTTAGGATGATCAGCGCTTTTCCAATTTCCTTCCACAGCAGTCACTCCCATGCTCCCCATCTTTTTCTCCTAGGAATTCACTTTTGATTTATTGGAAGCAGAGCCTGAGCTGGGGTTTCAGGAGCAAGTTTGTTTGTTTATTAAGGGAGTGCTCTCGGAAGGAACCTGTAAGAGGGTGAGAGAAAGGAAGAAGAAGCTGAGCAAAGATGTGGTTGCAGATGAGATCCACTCTCAGCCTGTGACAGCAGAGGAGATTGGTGCTGTAAATTGCCCCAGAATTTGCCCTACCTTGAGGCAAGACAGCTGGATTTTGTGCCCTCACACAAGACAGGCTTTAGTTATAGGATGTCCCAGGACAAGGGAGATGCACCTCCAGCTGAGATGGCTTTGATCACCCAAGAACGATCCTGCTAAAAAGGTTGCAGGTGTGAGCCATCGGTAGCAGCTTCTGCAGCAGCTGGGTGCACCAGAGCCCATTAAAATGAATCGAGGACATATTCTATAGTCTGAATTCTCTATGCTCTTCTTTTGCCAGCTGATTCATGTATCCAGCAGATTTGAGTCTTGTCTGTTTAATGTTGCTGTAACAATATACCTGAGGCTGGGTAGTTTATAAAGAGAAGAGGTTTAATTGATTCATGATTCTGGAGGCTGGAAAGCTCAAGATGGAGCAGCTGCATCTGATGAAGGCCTCATGCCTCTTCCACTCATGGAAAGCAGAAAGGGAGCAGACATGTGCAAAGAGATCACCTGGCAAGAGAGAGAAACTGAGGAAGACAGGCACTTTTTAACAACCTGCTCTCAAGGGAACTAATCCATTCCTGTGAGATACCCCTGCAGTAGGGTATTAATCTATTCATGAGGGACCTGCCCCCATGGCCCAAACACCTCCCACTAGGCCCCACCTCTCAACACTGCCACATTGGGGGATCAAATTGCAACATGGGTTTTGACAGGAACAAACCACATCCAAACCATAGCTGATACTACATCAGTTTTTCTATTGCTGCATAGCAATAACCTCCCCAAAACTTAACATAACCACCATTTACTTAACTCACAATTCTGTGGGTCAGCAATTTGGGTGGGCATTCTTCTGGTCTTGACTGTGCTTATTCATACTACATCTTTGGTCACCTACCAGGTTACTTGGGGACTGGCTGGACCAGAGTGACCTCGGCAGGAACAGCTAACTTGTCTCAATTCCACATGGTCTCTTTTCCAGCAGGCTAGCCCCAGCTCGTTCAAATGCCTGTGACAGGGTTCCAAGAGAGACAGAAGTATATGCAAGGTCCCTTGAGGCCTAGGCTCAGAACAGGCACACGGTAGTTCCTCCTATCCAAGGTAGAATCTGTTTCCTCCTCCCCAGATCTGGGTTGGCCTTATGATTTGCTTTGGCCAACAAAATGAAGCAGAAGTGGCAGTCACATTACAGAGGGAGTGGATACAGGAAGAAGTGGAGGATTAGGCACACCTCTATCTCTACCAAGACAATCTACCTTATCACTTGGTTTCAACAGCTAGGTCTGCAGTTGAACACATGATGTACTAGATAGAATCTGGAGGTTCATTTGGCTATTTTTAGATGGTTGACAGCTCTGAGAATAATCTTCCTGTAAAGTAGATTGTTGCGGTTTGCATCCCCTCAGATACAAACTCTAAGAAGAGATTGGTGTGCAGGATGTTTATCATGAAGTGCTCTGAGGATTGACACCTGTGGGAGAAGGGAAGGCAGGAAGATTGGGCAGAGGGTGAAGTTGTGATGCAATGCAGTCTCAACAAAGGCCTCAGCTAACCCACAGGGAGGACTAAGCTGGGGCGGCTCATCAGAGTTATCCCAGGTTGGTGCAAAGAAACTAGGCCTTTATACTCTGACACCAGCCAGTCAGTAGACGACAGCTGTCCTGGGCAGGGAGCTGACCTTGGGCAAGGCAGCTCTCTTTAGCCAAGGGCAATCCCGGCTAATAGTTGAAGGTTGTCAGTTGGCAGGGTTCTCAACAGCTGGGAAAATACCCTTCATTTCTGAAAGGGGATCTGGGTAGTGCACCATGGAAAATACATGGGATTTTTCTCCCCTTCATTTTTAAATTTATGGTACCAAAATCCTGACAGGAGAAAATAAGGGCTGTCCTATTTCTTCTTATTATATATTTAATATATAACTAAACTAAAGGGAAGGCTGCAGGATGGTTGGTTAGGACTGAATGAAGAAGTTTCATTAGGCCCAGGCAGGGAGGAACTACGGCCCCTTGCCAACAGCCATCACTAGCTTGCCAGCCATGGGAGGGCATACCATGGAAGTGGATCATCCAGCCCCAGTCAAGCCTTCAGATTAGGCAGCCCCAGCTATACCCAACTGAGAGACCTCATAAAAGACCATGAACCAGGATTGTCCAACTGAACTGGTCATGAATTCCTGACCCACGGAAACCATAAGAGATACTATATTAGTTTGCTGGGACTATCATAACAGAATACCACAGACTGGGCAGCTTAAACAACAGAAGTTGATGTGTCACGGTTCTGGAGGCTGGAAGTCCAAGATCAAGGTGTTGGCAGGTTCAGTTTCTCCTGAGGCCTCTCTCCTTGGCTTACAGAGGCATCACTGTGCTTTCATCCTTGGCAGCTCCTCTCCTTCTTTTAAGGACACAAGTCCTATTGGACTAGGGCCTACCCTATGGCCTCACTTAATTACCTCTTTAAAGGCTCTGTCTGCAAATACAGTCACATTGGAGGTTAGGGATCCAGCATATGAATTTTGGGGAAACACATAACACATAAATTCAGTCCATAACAGATAATAAATTATTGTTGTCTGAAGCCACTGAGTTTTTGGTGATTTGTTATGGATCAGTAGATAACTAATACTTGTTTCATCCGGTGTGAGGGGAGGTAGCATAGCTCAGTGAATTGAGCCATGGATAATAAACTCAAGAGCTTTGGGTTGTTTTTAAAAATGGACTGTCTTTTGCCATTCAGTCAGTCTCCAAGACCCCTAGTTCTCCTATTATGAAAATCTGGGAGAAGATCACTGACCAGTCTTTCAAGGTTGTTATGTGAAATAATTACCTTTTCTTTCAAAGATAGAAAGGCACTTAAAAAATCTATAAATATCTCAAATCGCTTGACATTAAGGAACAGTTAAAGACTTTATATGCACCACTTTGCTCTTATATTCCTGACTGCCATTTTAAATACCCTTACAACCTCATCAGGTCTTGATGTTAAAGCTGTCTGCCCAGAAATGGTAAACTAGCAGCTCTATAGTCTGTGACTCACAACAGATTAGATACTTTAAAAATAGTTTGGAAAAATTTCACATTGGGTCAAGGAGTAGGAGCTACAGAGAGAACTGATTCTCAGCGGGATTGGTTATCACGAGAGCTGGCGCTTAGACAAGTGCTGCCTGTGTGCTGAAGAGACAGGCAGAGTGTGTCTATTCTCCCAGCTGTCAAAAAAATATTATAATTGGCATTCTTCCTATGTTCCTGCACTGTTGGAATCATGACTCAATGAACAGAAAGAAGGCAGAGAGAGAGACACACACGACTGGGAGCGTGGCCCTTTTTTCTGAGCAGTGGCCGGGGTCTTTGGGATTCTTACTCATTCTGTTCCCCAGGGTAGCTGAGCTCCAAAGAAAAGCTGTTGGATCTTTTTAATGTGATAAACTCCCTGCCTCTGTCGTCTCCCCAGGGACCCATGAGGGGACTCACTTGTTCAGTGGTCATTTCCTATCTGCTTGGCACTGTCCTAGGCACTGAGCACTCAGAGACAGTTGAGATCATTCCTCTCTTTGAGAGTCTCCCCAGCAAAAAGGGGGTGCATCCTGTAGAAGCAGAACTCTGGAGCTAAAGCCATTGAAGGGTGCATCCTGCCTCTTCACTCACGGGGCAGCAAAACTAACAGATGAAATACCTACTCCTACAGATGCACAGATTGCATGGCCTTGGATTAGCATCATTTTGGTCACAGGGATGCAAGTGTAGGGTGAAAAATGGAAATGTCCAGTAGTGTATTATTTTGCTCTCTTGGTTGATAGAGTTCTCAAGATAAAATCTGCATCCCTTAACCATGACGATGGCCACTTTAGGGTTCATATTGAATTTTTCCATCCTAGAGAGGCAACCCTGCCTTCACCTGGGTGAGGCCAGGGCTCAAATATTGGTGTTGTAGAGTTGAGATGTTCACTAGAGTGAATCACAGGTAACCTACATATAGCACCTCTATTGGGAGGCAGAGTGCACCGTGATTATCTTTTTCCCTAACTTGGGCTGGCAATGTCAATAAAGGACATCACCTAGGTATGCAGTAGACCTTAAATATGTGTATTTCTTGTCTAAGAAACCATCATGATAAAACTGTCACCAATTTCAAAGCCAGGGACAGAAGCCAGTTGCAGAGGGTTGCAAAGTGAGTGTGAGATGACAAAGTAAGGGTGGAGGATGTGGACAGCTTTATCAAGAAGCTTGGTGTGAAGAGGAGATGTGAGTGAGGGCTTGGCTGGAGGAGGAGGGGGACCCAGGCAGGGAGGGCACCTCTTTTAAAAGATGAGAGTGACTCGGCATGTCCCTGTGCTAATGGGAAGTTCCTGCACCTTGGATCCCACTGTACCCGGGCCTCTGTTAAATGGGAATATCGGATTTATCTCACAGGGTTGCTGTGAGGCTCAAATGAGATAAAATTGTGTAAAGTTACTCCCCCAAAGGCTCAATGGCTAGCAAACGCTAAAGCCAAGATTTGAACCAAGGCAGCTGGGCTCCAGAATCCGTGTTCTCAGCATGGTTGTCCGTCACCTCTGGAGAGATCCGAGATTCTCAGCTGATCCAAGGTTGACGCAGCATCTTAGCTCATATACCTGATTAGGGGTTTGGCACATGGTGTCTCATGGGTCAAGTCTGGCCCACCACCTGGTTTTGTGATTAAAGTTTTATTGGCACACAGCTACGTGCATTCATTTATTTATTGTCCTTGCCGTTTTCATGCTGCAACAGCAGAGTGAGTTGCTGCAACAGAGACTATATGGCTCACAAAGCCGAAATATTTCTATCTGGGCTTTTTTCAGAAAGTTTGCCAATCTGTGACTAATCTGTGCCAGAGCTTCCCTTTATACTGCTAGCCAGTTGCTTGTTGGAACATCCAATGCAAAGGGGCAGATTGAGTCTCATCCCCAGAAAGGCAAGGGACAAACAGTAGTGCTTTGCCTCACTAAAGACGTGGAGTGCATTCCACTGGAGAGGGCAGTGGAATTAGTTATTTGTCCTGCCCTTAAGGAGGATCAGACTGGCCACTAAGCTGGCAAAGTGGGCCAGACGTGGTGGCTTACGCCTGTAATCCCAGCGGTCTAGGAGGCCGAGGTGGGCAGATCACTTGAGCCCAGGAGTTCGAGACCAGCCTCAACACGGCAAAACCCCATCTCTCTTAAAAATACAAAAAATTAGCTGGGCTGGTGGTGCACGCCTGTAGTCCCAGCTACTTGGGAGGCTGAGGTGGGAGAATCATCTGAGCCTGGGAGGTCGAGGCTGCAGTGAGCCATGATTTTGCCTGGGCGAGAGGACTGAGACCCTGTTTGAAAAACAAAAACAAAAAGAAAATGTTGGCCAAGTGGTAAATAATCCAGCAGAGTTAGGACTTGAAGATTATACTCCTTGCCTTCAGAGCGTTATAGAATTACACACTCTGCTTTTGGGCTGATTGAGGAGATTTGGAGTAACATAAAGTGAAGGTGGAAGGGTCTTTGTTCTTCCCCTTAACCTCCTTGAGTAAGGAAGGGCTGCACATTTGAAGTGGCACAGACAAACAGCATAAACTTGCCCTTCCCTCCCTTGCCATGATTTCCAGAGGAGGGACTTGTTCAGATTTGTGTCGTTTTTTTGTTTTGTTTTGTTTTTTAAATTTTGGAAGAGACCAGCGTTTTGCCATGTTGGCCAGGCTGGTCTTGAACTCCTGACCTCAGGTGATCCACCCACCTCAGCCTCCCAAAGATTCCCAAAGTAATCCCAAATCCAAAGGGATTACAAGTGTGAGCCACTGTGCCAAGCCCAGACTTGTGTTTTATGTATTTGTTTGTTTTTAGAGATAGATTCTCCCTCTGTCACTCATGCTGGAGTGTGATCATAGCTCACTGCAGCCTCAAACTCCTGGGCTCAAGCTATCCTGAGTAGCCTCCTAAGTAGCTGGGATTACCAGCACACACCACCATGCCCGACTAATTTTTTTTCTGTTGTTGAAGAGATAGGTTCTCCCTGTGTTGCCCAGGCTGGTCTTGAACTTCTGGGCTCAAGCCATCCTCCTTCCTTGGCCTCCCAAAGTGCTGGGAGCCACCACGCCCAGCAACAGACTTGCATTTTATGGAATGATTACTCTAGTAACAGGCTAGAGGCTGGAATTTATGCGGAAAAGACTAAACCAGAAAACCAGTAAAGTGCTGCAGTAGCCCAGTGAGAGGTGACAAAAGGCTGAATTACAGCCACAGGAGTGGAGATTCAGAGGAAGGAATTCATTATAAAAGTGCAGCCTGGATATGTGGCGTGTGGGAAGAGGACTCTAGGGGGACTCTCCAGTTTCTGGCATGAAAGGAAGGATGACAGTGTCATTAAATTAGAAAAACACTGGACGGAGAAGTAGAGCTGGGATGAAACCTCAGTTCCATCTGGGGCACATTTTCTTTCATTCCTTTGGGACATCAAATAGAAATGGCACGGACGTGGATTTAGAAGTCTGATGTGGAGAAGCAGAGGTTAGGAAAATGATTCTCTTTGTCCATTTTATTTCCCATGCCTTAAGTCAACCAAATCAAGACTCTGAACACTTTCTACCTATGTAACAGCCGGTGCGGGGAAGAAAGCAAATGTCGTTTAATTCTAATAAGGGATACTTCTTTACCAATAGAGTTGTGTGAAAATGCATTTGGGGGGCTGAACATTAAATGGTGGAAAAATTACTGTACCTATTTATGCATCCTAGACAGGCTTGTCTTGATTTGCATTTAGATGAGAATTCCTTCAGCTCAGAACCGGGACTGTCCCCTAATTCATAAGCACTTAGAAAAGCATTAACTTTAGCTGGCGAGGTATCCTTGGTACAACTGTGACACAAAACCTAATACCAGTGTTCCCTTAATGACTCAGGAGAAAGTAGCCATTGAAATGGTGGAAAAGTTTAGAACAAGCTTCCTTTGCCATCTCTTTGAGAAGGAACGCATACCCTGTTAATCAATGACCGCCCAGCCTCTCTCACCGTGCTTGAGTAAACCTGTTTCGAAGGGTTGTGTATTTTTTCCACTCTTTTGGAGGCTTCGTGCAGGACTCTAAAGCATTATTATTCTAAGTCCTGAGTAAGAATGTCAGCTGCTCATCGTAGCGTGATTACAGACAGAGGTATATTTTATTTTTTTAAAAAATGGAAATTGAAACAGGTGGTTCAATGAAAAGCTTTCTAAGGAACTACACAGATGAAATTCTAATACGATTTCTACAGCTCTGCCCGTGATTTCCTCTTCATGTGCTGAATCAAAAGCCCTTTGGGAGGCCAAGGTGGGGGGTTGGATCATATGAGGTCAGGAGTTCAAGACCAGCCTGACCAATATGGTGAAATCCCGTCTCTACCAAAAACATAAAAATTAGCCGGGTGCGGTGGCTTGTGCCTGTAGTCCCAGCTATTCAGGAGGCTGAGGCAGGAGAATTGCTTGAGGCGGAAGTTGCAGTGAGCCAAGATTGCACCACTGCACTCCAGCCTGGGTGACAGAGCAAGACTCCGTCTCAGAAAAACAAAAACAAAAACAAAAAAAGACAGTGAAAGGCCCATGGCTAGTTCTTTCACGAATTGGTCAGGCTATTCAATTATGGTGGTTCGGTCTGATTAAGCCATTACTTACTTTGCATTTGATTTTTCAAAACACATACATCTGGAGAAGTATTTGGTTCTCTCTTTTAAAAACAACATTCCTGTAAGATGAAGAAGTTCTGGAGATTGGTTACACCACAGTGTGAGCATGCTTAATGCTACTGACTGTCTACTGAAAAATGGTTAAGATGGCAAACTATGCTATGTGTATTACACCACAACTCAAACCTTTTAAAAATGACATTCCTCTGATTATAAAAGGAAAAACATAAAAAAGAAAATTAAAACTTCCTGGAATCCCGCCTCTTTGAGACAAATGGATAAATTCCGGTGTCACATTTTCGTCTAACTTTTGTTGTTCCTTTATACACAAATACAGAAATGGACAGATAACAGATGTAGACCCTGCTAGAGACTGTTCAGCAACTTAGCTTTTCACTTAATAGTATAATCAGGTCCCTGTCTTCAATTTACATGGTTTCATTGTTGGAGGAATGTCATCTTTTCAAGTCTTATTTTCATAAAATCTAGTAGACACACAGTATAAGTATTGCTTTATACAATTCAAATTATAAAGCAAACTACTGGTTCTAATATAGTAAACAACGAATGTTACATATAGCCTGGAGAGCATTTATTATATACCAAAAGCCATTGGATAGAGGTTGTATTGCTATTTGGATACAAATCGTGCAATTTCAGTAGAATGGCTCACTATGAATCAGATTCTTTTAAGAAACTAAGTATACAGTACTTTAGTACCAGGGAGACCATAAACGTTTCTGAGTCATTTGCCTGCTCAAGACTCAGCTACGGGTTTGAGAAGCTGGGAGATTGAAAGAAAGGAGATTTTCCTTCTTAAGATCTGTCCACGTTCCTGGACTTGAATCTGCCCTTTCACTTTTATTATGTCTAACAATTAAAGATTGATTTGGGGAATCTCTGAATACCAGTCTATGTGTTCACTACTCAGATCTAATAATACTAGCATTGGGATGTGGTATTAATATGGTTTATTCTTTTCCGGAATGTAGGAATGAATTGTGGAAATAACTTTTTTTGGAGACAGGGTCTCACTCTGTCACCCAGGCTGGAGTACAGTGGCATGATCATAGCTCACTGTAACCTCGAACTCCCAGCCTCAAGCAGTCCTCCCACCTCGGCCTCCCGAGTAGCTGGGACTACAGGCATGCACTACCACGCCTGGCAGAGAAATAATTTCGCATGAGCCGTGAGTGATGTGTTCAGACACAGCTAGTGGGAAAATATATACTTAATCCATTCCGAATTTTTTCTAGCGGAGCCTCCAAGAGGCTATCTATAGCCCTCCATGCTGAAATAATCAAAGACATTATCTTCAAACTAAAGCCTTTGTCTTAGCTTAAGAATGTGTGATCCTTTCTGTTCCCAAGACACACGTCTATAGATGGGGCTGTGTTTACACTCTGCCTGCCTACTTATTCAATCTTACAAATGGGCAATTAAAGGAAAATTCTGTTTCCCACCAGGCATTAACTGTATATTGCATTTAGTCTACACATTAGTTTCACACGCATCTGTCTGCCCGGTCACCATGTGTGAACCCCTGTGTTAAGATATCTGCGTGGTGTGAGAAGAAAAGCCTCAAGGTCAACACAAATACTGATCCATGCCTTTTTATAAGGTGGTAAAGCAAATACAAAGGGCTTTTAGAACCAGTAGACTCAGTGCATCGTCAGCATTTACCCTGTTAACCTGACTTAAATGGGAGTGGTGGACATGCCATGGACTCCCCTGAACAAAGCAAAGTCAATTTTCTATTTTTCTGAGAAACAGAAGCAGGAGGCAAAAAGAGCAGTAGAGCAGGAATCTATGGCCTGGATAAAACAAACACAAATTTTTTTTAAGTCTATGCAAAACAAAATCATAAAGACCCAGCTTTTTAAATAAACCGCCTAGATCCAATGTCAGAAGATGGAATTGTATTTACAAATATATTTTGTTGAGTGGCTTGGGTGCATAGAAAAAGGTCAAATTTTATTTCTGTTCAAACAGCACTGTAGCAAGTTACTATGAATCATGGTTGATTGCTCAGGCACCAGATCCCCTCACTTCTCAAGAAAGTCAGCAAAATCTTCCTGCAGCTCAACACAGTACCAGCAATACTGTACCCATCCATTATATTGCATTCCCTTCCCCTCCAATCTTACTGAATCACATTCTGACTTGACTCAGCAGATCATTGTCATCAGTAATTAGGAAATTCTTTGCCTCTTTTCCATCTTAGTCCTTTAATACAAATGGGCACCAGTCAAATAATAGAAACTGGCTTTTCGTTTGTCTACACCAGAAATAACCTGATAGAACGCTTATAATGTGTTCTGCTAGATGCTTAGTGATAGAGCTGCAGATTAGTTTAAAATCATCTTATAACATGTTCTTCATTAATGTGCTTGGGATAAGCCTATTTTTGTACTGTTTCGGCGTGTGTTCGCACCCCAATACTGAATTAGATCAGGCACATTTGGTGGCAAATAATTTTTGAAAATGTTATTTTCAGTCTTAAAATAATTTTCAATGGATTTGGCAAATGCATAAAACAACTCTTACTTTGTAGGTGCTCTGGGATCTGTGAAATACTTTTTTTTTTTTTTTTTTTGCGACAATCTTGCTCTGTCACCCAGGCTGGAGTGCAATGGCGTGATCTTGGCTTACTGCAACCTTTGCCTCCCAGGTTCAAGCGATTCTTCTGCCTCAGCCTCCTGAGTAGCTGGGATTACGGGCACGCGCCACCACGCCTGGCTAATTTTGTATTTTTAGTAGAGACGGGGTTTCACCATGTTGGTCAGGCTGTTCTCAAACTCCTGACCTCATGATCCGCCCGCCTCAGCCTCCCAAAGTGCTGGGATTACATGCATGAGCCACTGCACCCAGCCCTATTATTCTTATTTATTTATTTATTTATTTATTTATTTATTTATTTATGAGACGGACTCTTGCTCTGTCACCAGGCTGGAGTACAGTGGCGCAATCTCGGCTCACTGCAATCTCCGCCTCCCGGGTTCACGCCATTCTCCTGCCTCAGCCTCCTGAGTAGGTGGGACTACATGCGTGCGCCACCATGCCCAGCTAATTTTTGTATTTTTAGTAGAGATGGGGTTTCACTGTGTTAGCCAGGCTGGTCTCAAACTCCTGACCTCAAGTGATCCACCCGCCTTGGCCTCCCAAAGTGCTGGGATTACAGGCATGAGCCACTGCACCTGCCCTCCATCATTCTTTAAACACAATATTGTTTATGTGTCTTACTTTACAAATAAAAACAAGCATTTGACACATTTGACTTCTCAAAGTAGATGGAGCTGCTTTTTTGTCTCATCCTCACAGCCCAAAGCAGTTAGTCTCTTCTGCCTGGTGTCTAGACTATGAAGGTAGGGGCTTGGATTCAAACCCACTTGTTGATGCCTGTTATGGGCCAGCCACACACAAGTTCAGTTCATTCTCACAACAGTCCTGCAAAGAAGATATTATTATCTCTATTTTGCAAGTTAAGAACCAAGGTTTAGAAAAATAAAATCTACTGGAGATTGTATGACTAGTAAATGATTGAGATAGGATTCAAATTGAGACCTACCTTTGGAATCCATGTTCTTTTCATTTTACCAAATGGCACTCCCCACTCCCAAACCAACAACAGCATTTATTGCCACCTAGCCTGAGCCAAGACCTATACCAGGCACACAGTGGACATTGGCACGAGGCTTAGAGACTGACACACAGAACAGTCCAGCAGTGAGTCAGTGGCATAGCTGGGACTCAGAGCCAGAACTACCGAGAGAGGAAAGGTGCAAGCTTTGAGCCCAACCTATGTCTTCTTCCATAGGCGATGTTTGCTGTCTTCATTTTATATACACTATGGTCACACAATTTGACTTTGAGAATATTCTTCAAAATCTTAATTAAAATCAGTTAACAGCTGATGAATAACCACCCCCCCTTTTTTTTTTTGAGATGGAGTCTCACTGTGTCGCCCAGGCTGGAGTGCAGTGGCACAATCTCAGCTCATTGCAACCTCCGCCTCCCAGGTTCAAGCCATCCTCCTGTCTCAGCCTCCCCAGTAACTGGGATTCCAGGCGCCTGCCACCATGCCCAGCTAATTTTTGTATTTTTAGTAGAGATGGGGTTTCACCATGTTGGCCAGGCTGGTCTCGAACTCCTGACCTCAAGTGATCCACCTGCTTCGGCCTCCCAAAGTGCTGGAATTACAGGCGTGAGCCACCGAGCCTGGCCTAAATATGCTTTTGAGGTTTTAC
Source organism: Homo sapiens (assembly GCF_000001405.40). Lineage (NCBI taxonomy): Eukaryota > Metazoa > Chordata > Mammalia > Primates > Hominidae > Homo > Homo sapiens. Next base: position 151,656,831 of record NC_000007.14, on the reverse strand, counting down.
CTTTGCACTTTTGAATTCCACGATGTTACTTGAATCAAACTACTGATCCAATACAATCAAGTTACCTTTCATTCTTAAATCAGGAAACAACAACATCAAAAGAGAAAACACATTTTTTATTTATTTACACATGCTACCTAAGACATTGGCATCCCTCTACCTGCATCCTAATAAATGGATTCAATCCTTCAAAGGTTTATGTTTAGCTAAATATATTGTTGGATTAAGATATTTGCATATGGAATAAATCCTGGGGTTTGTTGTTGTTATTGTTTTGAGATGCAGTCTTGCTCTGTTGCCCAGGCTTGAGGGCAATGGCGCAGTCTTGGCTCACTGTAACCTCCACCTCCTGGATTCAAGCGATTCTTCTGCCTCAGCCTCCCGAGTAGCTGGGATTACAGGTGCACACCACCATGTGCAGCTAATGTTTGTATTATTAGTAGAGATGGGGTTTCACCATGTTGGCCAGGCTCATCTTGAACTCCTGACCTCAGGTGATTCGCCCAACCTCAACCTCCCAAATTGCTGGGATCACAGGCATAAGCCACCATGCCCGGCCAAATTCTGGGTTTTCTTATTGTCGTGAAACGTAGTTTGTATTGTCATCCTTTTAAAATTGTTGGTTATTTCCAGTTTTTCGTGACTCATTCATTAGATAACAAATTTATAGTTATCAATGGCTATGATAAATGAATATGTACTTATAATTTTTAAAACTTAACTACAATAAAGCACAATATAGTGCTACTCAGGTTTCAGGTTTAAAAAAATTAGACTGAGTTTTTGTTTACTGATAAAAATTCCAGGGTTTCAAACAGCTGTATTGCTGTTAATGAAATTTACAAATTAAGTTTGCCTGTTTGACTTTTACCATGTCACAGAGAAATAACTAAATGAATTTTCACCAGATTTGGGTAGTATGTTTGAGATGGCCTGACTCAAAGTGTAGGCTATGTGGGGTGTGATAATAATTTACTGAGCTCTTACTAAGTGCTGGCACTCTTATAAGTGCTGTCTGTGTAATTAACTCACATATTCCTTACCGCTCTATGAGGTAGGTGCTGCTACGATCCCATTTTACAGATGAGGAAACTGAGGCACGAGCAGCTTCATGGATGTTTCACAGCACACAGGGCCCTGTGTTTAGATGAGTCCCATCCTTGATTTGATGCTCTATTGTCATAGTCTGGAAATTCCCAATTTTTGAACAAGGGACCTCTCATTTTCTTTTTGCTCTGGATCTGGCAAATTATGTAGCCAGTCCTGGAGCAATTTAATAAATTGCTCAAGCCAGGGTTAAGCCCAGGTAGTATGTCCAGAATCCATACTCCTTACCATTGCTAAACTACCCTTGGAAACTGAGTTTTAGTCCTAGAGAGGCTGCCAAGCCACCAAGCAGCTGTGGGCTTCTTGCCCAGGGTGCTACTTCACACACAGGTGATTCTGCATGGGCTGTGTTAGGGTCCAGCAGCAGAGAGATTAAGGAGGGCTCACGATTCTTAGGAGCGATCAGCTCATATCTAATAGGCTATTTTGAAGAGGAAAATGGAAAAAGCAATGCCGCACAGAGTACTTTTGGGCCAAATACCTTTGAATGGCAGTGTAGGGCTGTCCAGAGATGGCGTACCCTTTCATTTCTCTGATGTGGTGTCCTTCAAGAATACAAAACTATTGCTGTTTCTTTCTGAAAGAATACCCAAGAAATAACAAGTAAAAAAATAAAAATATAATGACTTGTTCACATATTTCCCGAGTAATACTTGTCATTTGAGTCCCTCTCCTCAGGTTAAATTTGGGAATATTTCATTTTCAAGAGTGAATTCAACAACAACGTATCCCAGCCGGGCATGGTGGCTCATGTCTGTAATCCCAGCACTTTGAGAGGCCAAGGTGGGTGGATTACTTGAGGCCAGGATTTCGAGACCAGCCTGGCCAACATGGCAAAACCCCGTTGCTACTAAAAATACAAAAATTAGCCAGGCGTGGTGGCACATGCCTGTAGCCCCAGCTACTTGGGAAGCTGGGGCATGAGAACAGCTCGAATCCAGGAGATGGAGGTTGCAGCAAGCCAAGATCACACCACTGCACCCCAGCCTGGGCCATAGAGCGAGACTCTGTCTCAAAAAAGAAAAACCCAGCATATCCTGAGCTACTTTGACATTTCTCCTCCTCCTCTACTTTGTCTCCCTTTACTGTCTCTGGCACTTTCTCCAATATCAGACTGAGCATAGTAAAAGCACAGGAGAAAAATGACAAAAAGGAAGGTGAACTATAGTACACTATATGGTTTGGCTCAGGTATCAGTAGTATTTGCATAGTCGTAATAAGTTGAAACCTTGAATATTGACATAGCAAAAGAATTCATAACTATATGGACAGTGGGAGGAAGGGTTTGGGGGCAAGGTGCATTTGTGAGAGGTAGTCTTGATAGGCATAGAGAAAAAATAGAAATGACTAACATCAGTGAGCCATATGAGTTAAGGAGGGGAAGCTAGCAATGCTGTGATTGTGTCTGGGGTGCAAGAAGACTGCAGCACAGAAGGCGGGCCAGGGGATGGCTTGCTGCAAGCCTCGTCCTCATCCTTCACCATGGGACATCCTGTAGACACGTTTCTTTGAAGACAAAGTTAAATGGAAGAAAGGCTTTCCTGGTTGGCATATCTATGATCAGCCAATGAACACTGTATGACTATTTCAAAAGGATGGGTTTGTCTGTCCAAAAACAGATAAAGAAAACCCCAGCATCTATAAAACACAAAGAAATTATCCTCATTTTGAAAACACCATGATTTAAAACATCTAAAATAATTATGATAATTTTTAAACAAGTAAAATTATATTGCATATAAGGGTATTTATCAACTTAAGTAGGGTTCAGTCTCTTTTGAGGAATAGAAATTTGACAGATTTCTGTCATTATGAGTATATGAAAGGATTGGGCTTATCTGCAGCGAGACGTGTACCAAGTCTGTAAGATTTTTGTTCGTTTTGAGATGGAGTCTCGCTCTGTCACTCAGGCTAGAGTGCAGTGACACAATCTCAGCTCACTGCAACCTCCAGCTCCAGGGTTCAAGTGATTCTCCTGCCTCAGCCTCCCAAGTAGCTGGGATTACAGGCATCCGTCACCATGCTTGGCTAATTTTTGTATTTCTAGTAGAGACTTGGTTTCACCATGCTGGCCAGGCTGATCTCAAACCCCTAACCTCAGGTGATCGGCCCGCCTCAGACTCACAAAGTGCTGGAATTAGAGGCATGAGCCACTGCACCCAGCCCCAAGTCTGTAACATGTTAAAAAAGAATTTTCAACCCATTCCTGTTTGCTTCTCTGTTGCATTTCCAACCCATGATTTGGATTCTAGTAGCCTGAGGTTATCCAGGTTGTCGTATCGGTGGGTGAGAATAACTAAATTATGTACATTTTGTTAATTATCCAGTACTCATAAGGACAAATTTTTTCCTGTTTTCGATCTAAAGGGGACTGAAGCTATATTAATCAGCACTAGAATAGTCTAAAACCCCTTGCACTTTAAAATATGTATGTGGTATTTAGGCAAAAAGCTAACGTATTTTTTTTTAACAAGCAAATTTAATGATAATTTTTTCACACTGAAAACACTACTAATGATGTGGTTGAGATAAAGGGAACAGGACCTCTTGGTTTATAGAAGGTAGTAGAAATTTGGATTATAGCTGTACTAGGCTCTGCTATGATGATTAAAGTTTTTTCTGTTGATACCTCACACAATTCTAGGGCATTAAGTTCAGAGAAAAGGAGGAAAGGGATATTTCCTTTAACTTTCATTAGCGCCTGAGTTATTTCTGAGCTTGAGGTCTTGCTGTACGGCAGTTCAGTAGTTATCAAATCAGTTGGTCTCAGGACCCCTGTGTACTCATAATTATTGAGACCCAAACAAGCCGGGTGTGGTGGCTTCCATCTGTAATCCTGACACTCTGGGAGGCTGAGGCGGGCAGATCGCTTGAGCCCAGGAGTTCAAGCCCAGCCTGGACAACGTGGTGAAACCCCATCACTACAGAAAAATTAGCCAGGTGTGGTGGCTCACATCTGTAGTCCCAGCCACTCATGAGAAGGACCACTTGAGCCTGGGGGTGAAGAGGTTGCAGTGAGCCCGATCATGCCATTGTACTCTAGCCTGGGTGACCCCATCTCAAAAAGAAAAAAGAGACCCAATGGGCTTTTTTGGATATTGGGTTCCATCTACTAATATTTACCATATTGTGTGCCTGCTTTGACAGCACATATACTAAAACTGGGATGATACAGAGAAGATTAGCAAAACAAGAAAAGAAAAAAGAAAAAGAATTTACCATATTATAAATTAAAACTTTTTAAATATTAATTTATCTGAAAAGATCAGTAATAAACTCATTACATATTAGCATAAATCCATCTTTGTGAAAAAGAACTCCTTTTACATTGCTGCAAAGCTTTTTCATGTCTGGGTTAGAAGAATTCGGTGGAATTCTCAGATCTGCTTCAGCACCCGGTCTGTTGCCATATGTTGTTTTGGTTGAAGCACATGAAGAAAATCGAGCCTCAGACAGATAGGCGGTTGGAAAAAAAGAGAGGAGTGTATTGGTTTACCTCTTCAGATAATTGTGGATAGCCTTCTTGACAAGTGGTGGGGTTTTTTAAATATTTAACTGCTAAATAAAAATCGTATATAATTATGGGGTACACTGTGATGCTGTGATATGTGTATACAATACAGAATGATTAAACCGAGCTAATTAACGTATCTGTCACCTCACATACCTATCATTTCTTTGTGAGAACACTTAAAATCTACACTTAGCAGTCTTTATTATTAACTGTAGTCACAGTGCTGTGCGATACATCAGAACTTATTTCTCCCATGAAACTGAAACTTTGTACACTTTGGCCAGCCTCCTGCCTTTCCCCATCCAACCCCAGCCCCAGTCTCTGGAACCTCCATTCTACTCGCTGCCTTTATGAGTTTCACTGTTTATAATCTACAAGTGAGCTCATGCAGTACTTGTCTTTCCGTGCTTGGCTTATTTCACTTAGCCTGATGTCATCTGTGACAACATGGATGAACCCAGAGGACAAGTGGTAGTTTCTTGAAGGTTAGCCGCAGTGTGTAATCTGACACCATATCATTGAACTTTTCGGAGCCTACTTACCTAGAGTCTATTATGTTAGAATCTGTCCATCTATCTTGCATTTTTGGTTTTTTGTTTGTTTTTAGGTGGAGTCTCGCCCTGTTGCCTAGGCTGGAGTGCAGTGGCGCAATCTCAGCTCACTGCAACCTCCACCTCCCGGGTTCAAGAGATTCTCCTACCTCAGCCTCTCGAACAGCTGGGATTACAGGCACTCGCCACCAAGCCCAGCTAATTTTTGTATTTTTAGTAGAGACGGGGTTTCACTATGTTGGCCAGGATGGTCTCGAACTGCTGACCTCAAGTGATCTGCCCACCTTGGCCTCCCAAAGTGCTGGGATTACAGGCATGAGCCACCGTGCCCAGCCCTATCTTGTATTTCGAATGGATCTTTCACCCATGCATGATTTTATAATACCATGCATTAGTCATCTGGAAAATATTGGCTCACTGACTAATGCAGATCTTCCAAATAGGAACACATTTTGTTACACAATAACTAAAAAGCATTTCTTAATAACACCACTAATCTCCCCAGAGAAATCTCTAAGTATGGGGAAATTGTCAAGCTCATCGTGGCAGACACAAGGTTTCCAAAATTCTAATTTTTGCTTGAAAACTCAAACTTTATCATTGACAACAAATATGTCAGTTGTTTTCCTTGCAGTGACAGGCTCAGTTTATTCATTTTGAAAAAAAACTGTCTACCAAATACCCAGGTCCAAATAACTACAATTTTTCAGGGTTTTAAAAGCAGCTCAATTGCACATGTTTTCCTCAAGAACATCATCATAATTTGCAACGGAAAAGTTATATGTGCACCTCTCATTTCATCACACAGAATATTAAAAAGACACATACTCAAGAGCTGAGATTTGACAAAATGAATAAATGTATGGCATTATCAAAGACCTTCTTAAGTGACACTGGCCTTCTCCCCTGGAGTAGGAGGTTGTCACAGTTTGCCACTGCCTTGTTGATGTGAATTAAGGCACCAGAATTTGCCACGGTGCTGACATTGATGGGGAAAAGCAATGGTGGGTAAAAAGCAAATGACGCCTTAGTGTTGGCACAAAAAGTTTCCACCTGTAGACTCCCTGAAAAGGTTTCATGGACCCTCAGGAGTCCTCTGGCCAGTTTTCAAACTGCTAGTATAGCGTGTCAGCATATGTCACTGTTGTCAAGCATTACTGTCATCCACAGATCTTTAGGAACACAGCGACAGGAACTGCTGAGTTTGGTAGGATTTAGGACCATAACCCCTTCCCCTGCTCTGGTTCCAATCTTAACATGCAAACCATTCCCTAGAGGTAAAGTTTGCGTAATTGCCCACTTCTCAGCAGAAAAATCATTAACCATTACCATTTTTCTTCTAAATTTTTTTTTTTTTTGAGACTGGGTTTCGCTATCACCCAGGCCCACTTCTCAGCAGGAAAATAGTCAACCATTACCATTTTTCTCTTAAACTTTTTTGTTGAGACAGGCTCTCTCACTCTGTCACTCAGGCTGGAGTGCAGTGATGTGATCACAGCTCACTGCAGCCTCCACCTCCCAGGCAATCCTCCCGCCTCAGGCTCCTGAGTAGCTGGGACTATAGGCGCGTGCCACCGTGTCCGGCTAATTTTCTTTTTAATTTTTGCTGTTTAAAAAGAAAATAGAAATACCAAGTAGTCATTACGCTTTGCAACACATACAGGGGTGTGTGTCGGGGAGGTGAGGGGGACATTTCCTCCAGATATGTAGAATTAGATACCTGCATATCCCTTTAAAAAGCACTGTATGAGTCCATTCTCTCATTGCTATAAATACCTGAGACTGGGTAATTTATAAAGGAAAGAGGTTTAATTGGCTCACAGTTCTGCAGGCTGTACAGGAAGCATGATGCTGGTATCCGCTCGGCTTCTCTGGAGGCTTCAGTAAAATTATAATCATGGCAGAAGGTGAAGGGGCCGCACATACCTCACGTGGCGGGAGCAGGAGCAAGAAGGAGGGGAGGCACTGCATGCTTTTGAACAACCAGCTCTCATGAAAATTCACTGACTATCACGAGGACAGCACTGAGGGGATTGTGCTAAACCATTCATGAGAAACCGCCCCCATGATCCAATCACCTCCTACCAGCCCCACATCCAACACTGGAGATTACAATTGGGCATGAGATTTGGGTGGGGACACAGATCCAAACCATATCAAGCACAACCAACATGACAAAAGTTGGTACACACTAATTTTTCACCATATTACTTGCAACTTAAAAATGCAGTCTTGGCCAGGCACGGTGGTTCACACCTGTAATCCCAGCACTTTGGGAGGCCAAGGTGAGAGGATCACTTGAGATCAGGAGTTCAAGACCAGCCTGGACAACATGGTGAAACTCCATCTCTGCTAAACATACACAACTTAGCCAGGTGTGGTGGTAGGTGCCTGCAATCCCAGCTACTCAGGAGGCTGAGGCAGGAGAATCGTTTGAACCTGGGAGGTGGAGGTTGCAGTGAGCCAAGATCACACCACTGCACTCCAACCTCGGCAACAGAATGAGACTCCGTCTCAAATAAAATAAAATAAAATAAAATAAAATAATCATTCCTTCCCTCAGGTCTAACTTAGTACAGACACTGGCTACTTGCTCTTCGGGTGAAGGGAAATTTGAGCACATTTAGTGACAAGAACATTCCTTTAACTCATATCCCATATGAATGACTACGTCTTTCGGTCAAGAGGCATCCGAAGATGTACACTCTATTTCTTTATTATGTAGTCTCTGATCATAAAAAGGAAAAAAAAAAAATCCTGGTCCTCTCTCACATACCTGATTTTTCCCCTTTCTTTCTGTTTTTTAAAGAGACGGGGGTCTCACTATGTTGCCTTGGGTTAAAACTCCTGGGTTCCAGCCATCCTCCTGCCTCACCCTCCCACGTAGCTGGGACTACAGACATGGACCACTGCACCCAGCCCTCTATTACATTTCATTTTAAAGTAAACTATTATTTTACAGTACTTGACTCATAATTGATTTCATGACCCATGAGTGGGTCACAGTTTACAGTTTTAAAAACACTGGTTTAGATTTTCATTCCCTAAAGCCTGGTTTCTCAGCTTCCAATTATAGCAAATGCCTTTGTGTTGCAGCTACTAGGGCTGCTTGTTAAATCGATGTCTCTTCCCTTTCACCCTTTGAGAAGACACCGGCCCCTCCTAGCAATGTCTCCGTGCTTTTCCCGGGTGCCCCAGCCCTTCATGCTGACTCCGCTTGTTCTCACACACCAGTTTTCCCAAAGCAGGGGGCATGAGGACCACGGTGGGATGCAAGATGCTTTCAGGCGGTACAAGGATGAACGTTTTCATAGCGACATTTTTGTATATCATGGAAAAATATATCTGAAACAGCAAAACCTATGATTTCATGGAATTGTTGCCTAAGGGAAGACTTGGGGGTTTAAGTCAATTTAAATAACTGTGTAGGTTGTATGGGGATATGATAGAATGACACCTGTCCAAAGTTTGGGAGGCATAGCTGATGAATCAAAAATCTCTGTCATTCTTCCTCAGCATGATCCACACCACCCACCCCTCCTCTCCGCCAAATGACACTGGAAGCTACTCTAGTTACACACCAAAGGTACTTTTTTGGACAGCCTTGTAATAGCTGAAGTTTAACAGATTGATTGCAGCATTCCCCCTTTATTACCTCACACAGGCCCATTCAATCCCTGTTCCCTGACATTCCCAATCTCTTTCCTATTTACTTCCTAATCCACAAAGTCGAAACTGTTCTTATCTCTGCAGTACCTCTGACCTGCTCGCTTAATTTTTACATTCATTGTAAAGACGTCTTCAATGTCCCCGCTGACTCCAGGCTCTCCTGCAGCCAACCCTCTCTACTGTATGCAGATATTAGGATTTTTTTATATTGCCAAAAACGATTTGAGATTATCTACATTCACTTCTTACATGCAATCCTAAGAAATCCAATTCCATTCCTTTCACTCCCAGTGGTCTCCAATCTTTCTTTCACTTCTCTACAAGAATGTTCTACTCTCAGATAAAGACCATCAGCACATCCTGACCTTCAGGCTCTTCCTCTGCCACAGCCGCCACCCGAATGTCCACCTTTCCTTGCTCCCTTCAAAATCTGCCTCTGCACATCTCTGTAGGAAGCCTTCCTCTCAAAGGTTTCCTTAGCATTTGTGCCCACAATGCAGTCGCTATAGCTTTTTATTATTTAAATTACTTTGTAATTTTTTACAGTGTGACATATGCAGAAATCTGATTTCCCCAATTATAACTGTCACCTAATTAGAATATAACCTTCTGAGGGCCGGGCCTGTATCTCATTGAATACCCAAATGTTACCTAGGCTGTTTCTGGCTGCAAAGCAGCAGAGAATTCCAACTCAAACTGGCTTGAAGGATAAGGACATCTATTGTATCATCCATACAGGTACAGAAGCAGGCCAGGCCCCAGGCAAGGTGAGATACAGCCCTGCTCAATGCTGTCACCTAGGACCCACGTTCTTCTCTCTCTCTGCAATGGCTTCATCTGAAGGCTGTTTCTCAATAGCAGTCAGGGCTGCATGCTTGCTTGTGGCAAGAACAGGGGATGGACGGGGCTGTGCACACATGCATGTGCGGTCTGGCTCTCTCCAACCCTGAGTCCTCCCTGGTAGCCCAGGGTAGCTCGAGAGAGCTTGTCACTATCATGAAAGCATATATACTGCAACAGCATTTGGGTTATTCTAGGAAGGAAGGTAGAGGAAGAGGAATGGATGCCAAGTAGGCAGCCATGAGTACCCGCTCCAGCTGGCTCCAGTGTGCACACGTCAAATGGTGGATACCACTACTGAGGTTGTGCACGTGAGCTGAAAGCAGCAGATATCCATCTATCCATGTGTAATATGACATAGGTAATCTGTAATATTACATATATGTGTAACATATAGTACATATTTTATATGTATGAGCCAAGGAATAACTAAAATGATACATTTTGATAAGAATCAGAGTTATGTATAATACACTGAACACATAGCTAAAATTATACAGTATCGGGGAATTGCAAAATAATTTAAGAGGCAGTAGATGATGTGATTACTTATGCAGAAAAATCCTAAGAAATCTACAAAATTACCACTAGAACTTACAAGTGAATTTAGCAAGGTCACAGGATACAAGGTTAATGTATGAAAATCCACTGTATTTTTATATGCTAACAGCAAACAATTGGGAAATGAAATTTTATAAGCAATTTCATTTATGAGAGCATCAAAAAATAAATACTTAGGAATAAATTTAACAAAAGATATGTAAGACCTCCATGGTGAAAACTACAAAAGATTGCTGAGAGAAATCAAAGGGCTAAACAAATGGAAAGATATGCCATGATCATGGATTGGAACACTTAATACTGTTGTCATTTCTTCCCAAATTGATCTGTAGATCAAATGCCGTCCCAGCCAAGATTCCAGTAGGTTTTATTTTTAATTCTGGAATGTATATAGAAACATAAGGAACTTAAAGGACTCACAGCCATTTTTTAAATGAAGAACAAAGTTGGAGAATGTCCACTACCTGATTTTAAGGCCTATTATAGAGCTACAGTAATCAAAACAGTGTGGTCATGATGAAAGTATAGATATAAATCAATGAACAAAATAGAGAATCCAGAAATAGATCCCCATATATGGTCAATTGATTTTAAATAAAGGTACCAAGGGAATCCAGTGAGGCAGCAAAATCTTTTCAACAAGCAATGTGGAACAATTGGATTTCAGTATGGAAAATATGAACCTCAACCCTTGCCACATATCATAATTTAAAAATTAAATCAAAATGGATCCTAGGCCTAGTAAAAGGAAAATGTAAAACTTCTAGAAGGAAACATTTAAGACAATCCTCACAACCTTGGAAGAAGAGGAGGCAAAGATTTCTTAGCTAGGACAGAAAAAGCATGAGTCATAATATAATAAATAGGATCTTATCAAAATTAAAAACTTGCTCTTTGAAAGACATGACTAGGAATATGAAAAGGCAAGCCACAGAAGGAGAGAAAATATTCACTATTCACAGTACATGTGTCTGACAAAGGACTTACATCCTAAATGCATTTTTTTAAAACCCATTGTATTATCTAGTTGTGTAAGAGATTACCACAAACTTAGTGGCTGAAATCATGCATTGATTATCTCATAGCTTCTGTAGGTCAGAAGTTCAGGTACAGCTTAGTTGAGTCCTCTGCCTCAGGCTCTTTTGTGAAGCTTGCAATCAAGATGTTGGCCAGGACCAGGGTCTCATCCGAAGGCTCAGCTGGGGAAGGATCCCTTTCCAAGCTCATGTGGTTAGTGGCAGTGTTTAGTTCCTTGCAAGCGGTTAGACTGAGAGCCTTAGTTCATTGACATGGGCCTCTCCCGCATGGCAGCTTGCTTCACCAAAGCCAGCAAGATAGTGATCTGCTAGAAAGACAAGCCACAGTCTTATGTATATAGACAGAAGCTTAATAATGGAAGTGGTGTCCCATCACCTGTGCTGAATACTGTTGGCTAGAAGTAAGTCACTAGGTCCTGCTCACACTCAAGAAGAGGGATACACAAGTACATGAATGCCAGGAGGTGGGGATCATGCATTGGGGGCCATCTCAGAGTCTGCTTGCCATATTCATACAACTCAATAAGAACAAAAACTCTAATAAATAAATAGACAAAAGATGTGTACAGTCACTTCACAAAAGAAAACACATTAATTACCAATAAACACAAAAAGATATTGTCCTCAAGGAAATGCAAATTAAACTCACAGCAAGAAACCTATACACCCACTAGAATGACTAAAATGATAAAAAATGTTAAGAGACCATACCAAGCATTGATGAGGACATGAAGCAACTGGAACTCTCAACCACTTTGGGCAGAAATGTAAAATGGTACAGCCAGTCTGTGAAATGGGTGGTTTCTCATATTAAACACACACCTACCAAATGACTCAGCCATTCTACTCCTTGGTATTTGCCCAAGAGAAATGAAAGCATGTTCCTACAAAGACTTGACCACACATGTTCACAGCTTTATTCCCAATGGTCAAAAAGTGAAAATATCCCACATGTCCATCAACTGGTGAATGAATAGACAAAATGGGGTCTATCCATAGAATGGGATGCTACTTAGCAATAGAAATGAACAAACTACTGGTATACTGAGCGACATGAATGAATGGCAAAATAATTATGCTAAGTGAAATAATCCAGGAGCAAAAGCACATATACTGTATGATTCCATATACACAAAATTCTAGGAAATATTTATAGTGACATAGTGATAAAAAGTAGATCAGTGGTTGCCTTGAAGAAGGGGTGAACCACAAAGGAGCATGAGCAAACTTTTGGAGTGATAAAAAAATTTTCTCTATATTTTATTTTTTTAATTTTCTCTTTAACATTTATTTACTTTTTAAATTTTATTTTTCCATAAGTTATTGGCATACAGGTGGTATTTGGTTACATGAACTTACATGAGTAAGTTATTTAGTGGAGATTTGTAAGATCCTGGTGCATCCATCACCCGAGCAGTATACTCTGCACCATGTTTGTAGTCTTTTATCCCTTGCCCCGCTTCCGCTCTTCCCTCCAAGTCCCCACAGTCTATTGTATCATTCTTATGCCTTTGCGTCCTCATAGCTTAGCTCCCACATATCAGTGAGAACACACAATGTTTCGTTTTCCATTCCTGAATTACTTCACTTGGAATAATAGTCTCTAGTCTTATCCAGGTCATTGCAAATGCTGTTAATTTATTGCTTTTTATGACTGAATAGTATTCCATCGTATAATTGTACTGATGATTTCATCCTAGCTCATCAAATTGTACACTTGGAATAGAAATCGTTTATTGTTGGTAAATTACACACAACAAAAAGGGACACTACAAATCATTCTTTAAAGGATTTGCATTATGAGGTATGAAGGTCCTGCTTCTCCATTTCCTTGGCTCTGTGTCTGCAGTTCACTCTAATCCACCATAAGTGGCTATGTAACACTGTGGATAGTAAATGAAGACCACTGAAGTCTCCAGAATGTAGAAGATGTGGTGGAGGCATTAGTGGGTCCCTTTAATTTCAGCTGGAATATTGTACTTCCTTTTGATCACGTTATGTAGAGCAGAACTGAAGTGGAAGTAGTCTGTCTCAATCATGTTTGTAATTTTTCACCAATTTAGGAATAGAGCTTCCACCCAATATGGGATTTAAAGGGGCTGAAAAACAGTTAACAGTGATCTGTTCTAGAAAGGGTTAATGAATAGGTCAGTTGCAGGGGAGGGAGCAGAGAATAGAAAACAGAGACTGCCTTGTGACACTATATCATTCTGTACATTGCATTCTAATATAAATACAACATATTTCAAAGTTTGTGACTTGGCTGCATTAAGAATTGAAAGGTTAGATGAACTTGGTGAGCATTACTTATTTTTTTATTTGCAATGTATTATAAGACAATACTAAGAGTTATCAACCTATAAGAGAATATAAATATTCCGCTCCCAATAACTCATGTTAAACACAAAGCTAATAATAAAATATTTTGATTGGCAAAAAAATGGATTTATTTGTGAAAGGCAAGAGATGTATGCATTTCAGACTGTAACGAATGAATTTGAAGGGTAGCAAGGCAATCATGCTGATTCTCCATGTTCCTTGAGCTCCTTCTTCATATCTTCTATGCCAATTTCTAGTCATGCTAGCACATGTTCGTTCAACAGATATTTTATTAACCAACTACCCTGGTTCTGGGCACATAGCCCATATTAAGTAAGTATTTGCTGAATGAATGACTGTCTTCAAAAGCTTACCATTGTCTCCTATTTTGGAAATTCGAAGATAATTTAACATAGAGAATCCAAAGGACTTTTTGGGTTAATCAATTTTCTTCACCTTTTGTTTAACAATACTTCCTTTGAAACAGGTTTTCAGCTGACTTGAGCTGGACAAATTGGTTGCTACTCTCTCTGAAAAGATACTGTGGAATAAATTATCTTTAAAGAAATCATGAATGTTAGGGAGGAACTAATATTTATAGCATCTGAAATTGTTATTCAGAAAGCTGTCAAAATGAACAAAACCTTCTCTCCAAATATATTGATTAAAAGCAATCAGCAGAATTAATACACTTCTTTTTGGGGAGTGGGGTGGTCTCAGTTTGTTGCCCGGGTTGGAGGGCAGTGGTGTGATCACAGCTCACTGCAGCCTTGAACTCGTGGAGTCAAGCAGTCCTCCCACCTCAGCCTCCTGTGTAGCTAGCTGGGACTACAGGCATGAGCCACTATGCCCAGCTACCTTTTGTTTTGTTTGTTTGTTGTTTGTTTGTTTGAGATGGAGTCTCGCTCTGTCGCCCAGGCTGGAGTGCAGTGGCGCGATCTTGGCTCACTGCAAGCTCTGCTTCCCATGTTCACACCATTCTCCTGCCTCAGCCTCCTGAGTAGCTGGGACTACAGGTGCCTGCCACCATGCCTGGCTAATTTTTTTTTTTTCTGTATTTTTAGCAGAGACAGTGTTTCACCGTGTTAGCCAGGATGGTCTCGATCTCCTGACCTCGTGATCCACCCGCCTCGGCCTCCCAAAGTGCTGGGATTATAGGTGTGAGCCACCACGCCTGGCCCCTTTTTTTTTTTTTTTTTTTTTTTAAAGATGGGGTCTCCCTATGTTGCCCAGGCTGGTCTCAAACTCCTGGGCTCAAGTGATCCTCCCACCTCAACCTCCCAACATGCTAGGATTACAGACCGAGCTACTGCATGTGGCCAAGAATTAATACTCATAGTGTTGAATATATATTTGAGATTTTTTTCAAATTTCTACACTACTTTTAAAAATCAATTGTCTTCCCTTAACAGAAACTAAAATTGGCCAGGTGATGTCACTCATGCCTATAATCCCAGTGCTTTGGGAGGCTGAGGCAAGAGGATCACTTGAGCACTGGAGTTTCAGACCAGCCTGGGCAACATTAGCCAGGTATGGTGGCACGTGCTGGCACTCCCAGGTACTTGGGAGGCTGAGATGGGAAAATCACTTGAGCCCAGGAGTTCAAGGTTACAGTGAGCTATGATTGTGCCACTGCACCAGCCTAGGTGACAGAGCAAGACCCAGTCTCTTAAAAAAGAAAGAAAGGGCCGGTTCTGGTGGCTCCTGCCTGTCATCCCAGCACTTTGGGAGGCTGAGGTGGGTGGATCACTTGAGGTCAAGAGTTTCAGACCAGCCTGGCCAACATGGTGAAACCTTGTCTCTACTAAAATACAAAAAATTTGCTGGGTGTGGTGGTGTGCGCCTGTAGTCCCAGCTACTTGGGAGGCTGAGGCAGGGGAATCACTTGAACCAGGGAGGTGGAGATTGCAGTGAGCCGAGATCGTGCCACTGCACTCCAGCCTGGCAACAGAGCGAGACTCCATCTCAAAAAAAAAAAAAAAAAAAAAAGGAAAAAAGAAGGGAACAAAAAAGCTGAAATTGTAGGGTGGTGGCAAGAGCTGGCAAAGCTCTCAGCCAGTATCCATGCCAGGATCTCATACTGCCAGCGAACTTTGGTCCTCAGATAGAATCTATTACAATAAAAACTACCCTGCCATCATTTCTTGGCACAGTCACTTTTTTTCCTTCAAAATGTTAATTCCAACACTAAAGGGAAAGTGACTATAATGATTTCCAAACAGCAATGAGGTCCAAGGGAAGCATGAGTAAATTGAGTGAAATAACTTCTAAACCCATTTATGCTACTAAAATCAACTGTTTCCCTACCAAGTTTTAATGGATGTCTGAATGAACAATTCATTTCACTCAAATATTTTTTGAATGCCTACTATGTGTCACACACAGGCAATACAAGGATGATGAGTCATTCGTTCCCTTCAGAGAGCAATGTGGGACTCAGAGGAAACAGAAAAGTAAATCCCAAGCCAGTGTGTTAAATGCCATATGGAAGCATGTGGGTTCAGAGAAGTAATTAACCAGGCAAGTTGTGAGAAAAGGTCGTGAATCGGGGAAGGAAGGAAGGAAGGAAGGCGGTGGGGGAAGGAGGAAAAGCAGACTGAAAGAAAAGAATCGGGAAAGGCTTTCAGAGAAAGATTGATCTGAATCTTTAAAAATAGTAAGAACTGGCCAAGGAAAGGAGGAAGAAACAAGGAGGCCAGAATGCTCAGAAACCCTTACAGCAGGGAGTGTATGGTCTATTCCAGGACAATGCCTTAAGGTTTAGGTGTGGGGTACACAGAGGGACATGGCAAGAGAAGGTGAATAAATGATCAGGCCCTTCCCCCCAGCTCAGGAGTTTGCCAAGAAAATCCTAAAGATTGCCGAGAGCCACTGAATGGTTCTAAGTTAGTGAATAATAAGTCTGTTTTGTTTTTGTTTTTGTTGAGACAGAGTCTCACTCTGTCACTCAGGCAAGAGTGCAGTGGCAGGATCTCAGTTTACTGCAACCTCCGCCTCCCAGGTTCAAACAATTCTTGTGTCTCAGCCTCCCAAGTAGCTGGAATTACAGGTGCATGCCCCATACCCGGCTAATTTTTGTTTTTTTCATAGAGACATTGTTTCACCATGTTGCCCAGGCTGGTCTTGAACTCCTGACCTCAGGTGATCCACCTGCCTCGTCCTCCCAAAGTGCTGGGATTACACATGTGAGCCACTGTGCCTGGCCAAGACTACATTTTTAAAATGTCACTCTTATCAGTCAGGGTTCTTCAGAGAGACAGAGCCAATAGGTGATAGATAGATGATAGAAACGGATGGAGGTAGGTAGATAGATAATAGATGATTGATTGATTGATTGATTGACTGACTGATAGATGGATGAGAGGGGATTTATTGGGGGAATTGCCTCATGGGATTATGGAGGCTGAGAAGTCCCACAACAGGCCATCTCCAAGCTGGAGTCCCTGGGATGCAGGTAATGGTAGCGTGGCTCAGTCCAAGTCTGAAAGCCTCAGAACTAGAGAAGCCAGTGGCGTAATTCTCAGTCCAAGGCCAAAGGCCTGAAAACCAGAGGGCTGCTGCTGTTAAGTCCCAGTGTCAAGGCAGGAGAGCCTGGAGTTCTGATGCCCAAGAGCAGGAAGAGGAAAGTGTCCCAGCTCCAGGAGAAAGAGCAAGGAAATCCTCTGTCACCTTTATTGTTCTCTCCAGGCCCCCAGCTAATTAGATGGCGCCCGCCCACACTGGAGGCAGATC
Source organism: Homo sapiens (assembly GCF_000001405.40). Taxonomy (NCBI): domain Eukaryota; kingdom Metazoa; phylum Chordata; class Mammalia; order Primates; family Hominidae; genus Homo; species Homo sapiens. Next base: position 151,639,501 of record NC_000007.14, on the reverse strand, counting down.
TTCCCCACTCAGTCCACTGACCCACATGCCAGTCTCTGGAAACTCCTGCACGGACACACCCAGAAATAATGCTTTACCGGTTGTCTAGGTGTTCCTTAATCCAGTCAAGATGACTGGATTCAAATTTAACCATCATAGGCACTCTGGCTACACGGAAGGAAATAGACTGGAAAGCGGGCAAGACTGGAGGAGCTCAAGCTGCCCGGCTGGCCAACCCTGAGAAAATGGAAGCCTGAAACAGGGGAGGTGTAGCAGGGATGGAGACAAGTGGGTTGTCTCAAAAGAAACCAAGACGGCAAGACCCAGAGGACTGGGGCACAGTTTTAGATGAAGTGCATCTGCGTTGGTGTAGAAAACTCCAGTGGAGATGATGGCAGTGTGGAGCTCAGGAGAGGGCTGGGCTGGGACTGAGACCTGGACATGTCAGGCACAGTGGTGGGTTGGAGCTGCCTGGAGAATGCCCAGTGGGAACGGGAGCAGAGTGCATGTGCAGCTCCTGTCCAGCATCCAGGGGGTTTCACGTCGTTCTTTACTCTTTGGAGGACGCCCTTGCAGAGCAGAGTGGAGCTCAAGGAAGACAGCAGGATGCACAGAAACTAAGAGTTCTGTATGCTAAATTATTCAGGAGCTCCTTACCCAGTATTTGAGGTTGATTTATTTCTTGCAGGAGCTATTTAAGACTTCTTTTAAGAGGCAGAGCAAACTCATATCCGACCTCTGTGCGTAAAGGAGTGCTTTTTTGGCAATTGTTTTATGATTAAGTTTTCAGGCTGAAGTTTTCCCTTCTGATAGTCATTCAAAATACAGTGTTTTGCTGCACCTGGGCACAATTATGTAAGACACAACTTAATAATTTAGCTTTTTTTTTTGAGACAGAGTCTCACTCTGTCGCCAAGCTGGAGTGCAGTGGTGCAATCTTGGCTCACTCCAAGTTCCGCCTCCTGGGTTCAAGCGATTCTCCTGCCTCAGCCTCCCGAGTAGCTGGGACTACAGGTGTGCGCAACCATGCCCGGCTAATTTTTGTATTTTTAGTAGAGACGGGGTTTTCACCATGTTGGCCAGGATGGTCTCGATCTCCTGACCTTGTGATCCGCCCGCCTCGGCCTCCCAAAGTGCTGGGATTACAGGCATGAGCCACCATGCCGGGATAATAATTTAGCATTTTTTACCAACCAAGAAGTCACACTTGTGATGGCTCCATGTTTCTCAGGCATTCTCTCCATAAAGTCCAACTTGGGTCCCTCTGTTCCCTCCCACCACACTAGAGTCCAGTAACCTCAGACTGGCTGATGTGATATAAATGGAAATGTTCCCTGTGGTGGAACTGTGCCAGGCTGTTAGCAGAACCCAGTTCCTCCCTGCCATGGTTGGCCCATTTTGTTCTCCCTGGGGAGATCGGTCTGGATTATCAGGAGGGTTTGGGTGGTGGATTTGGTCTGTTTTTGCTACATCAAACATCCCTGATGCTGATGGACTGAGAGAGGAGTCGGTGTCACAAGTGCACGCCCCTTCCCTTTGCTTGCATGACATTGCCCACGCCCTTCCCCTCCCTTCGCCTCTTCTCCCGGCTTTCCCTGCCTGCCTGAAACAGCTAAAATTAAGTCTGGCATAAGTCTGTTGAGACTTTAAGAAAACATTGCCATAAAAGGGCAACGACGACCACCAGCTTCAAGTTCTGTGTGCTGACAAATTCGTCTGTCTTTTGACCCTGTGCACATTAATGTACATACCTAAACTGTAAAAGCCCTCAAATTCCTGAAATTGACTTAGTGTGTTATAAAAAAAAAAAAAAAACCTCATGACTTTTTCTGTTGTTCCATGAGTAGCCTCCTTTCTAAGGAAGAAAACATAAGATTTCTTACTAAGTAAAAAACCTGTAGAAATAAATTCAATCCCACTAGCATATTACATAAAAACATTTTTATTTTAGGCTACTCCTGTACACCCATTCATTATCAAGTGGAGTTGCATAAAACATTAATTGTTAGAATTTCTACTCTCTACCAACTTCTGTAGTGATGGTTTATAGGTCTTTTCAGTCTGTGAACCACTTTTGCGGTCCTCCTGACGTACATACTGCCATTTGTTGCCCATTTCTGCCTCCCAAAAAACAACCCCTCACGATTACAGGTGAAATTGATGGTGCTTATCATAAACACCGGTAAGAATTTTTTTAAATTATTGCAAGAGACAAAAGCATAGACTTAGAACGAGAGATACTTCCTGTGTACCTTGGCTCACTCCAAGTTTTTTTAAAAAACTTTTTTTAAAAATTAAACTTTTTATTTTGAGATAATTGTATATTCACATATAGTTGTAAGAAATAATGCAGAGAGATCCTGTGCACCCTTTACCTAGTTCCCCGCAGTGGTAACATCTTGCAAAACTAAACAGTACAGGAGAAACTTGAATCCTCATACATTGCTGGTAAAAATGTAAAATGGTGCAGCCACCTTGAAAACAGTTCAGCAGGTCCTCAAAATATTAAATGTAGAGAGGCCAGGTGTGGTGGCTCATGCCTGTAATCCCAGCACTTTGGGAGGCTGAGGCGGGTGGATCACCTGAGGTCAGGAGTTCGAGACCAACCTGGCCAACATGGTGAAACCCCATCTCTACTAAAAATATGAAAATTAGCCGAGCATGGTTGTGCGCACCTGTAGTCCCAGCTACTCGGGAGGCTGAGGCAGGAGAATCACTTGAACCCAGGAGGCAGAGGTTGCAGTGAGCTGAAATCGCGCTACTGCACTCCAGCCTGGGTGACAGAGTGAGACTCCATTTCAAAACTAAATTTAAAATATATATATATTAAACATAGGGTTACCCTGTGGCCCAGCAATTCCACTCCTGTATATATGAAATGAAACACATGTCCACACAAACACTTGCACAGGAATGTCCATAGGAGCATTTTCACCACAGCCAAAAAGTGGAAACCACCTGAGTGCCCATCAGCTGACGAAAGGATAAACAAGGTGTGTGTGTCCACACAACAGAGTATCGTTCAGCAGTCAACAGAAATGAAGTGCTGATCCGTGTTACAATGTGAATGGGCCCTGACATTAAGCGGAAGCTAGTCACAAAAGACCACCTATTGTATGATCCCATTGATGAGAAATACCCAGCATCGGCAAATCCATAGAGACAGGAAATAGTTGCCTAGGGATGGGTGTGAGGGTTGAGCAGGTAATGGGACGTGACTGCTAATGGGTACAAGCTGTCTCTTTGGGATGATGAAAATGTAAACTTAGATAGTTGCACAATTCTGAATATTCCAAAAATCACTGGGCTGCACACTTTAAATGGGTGAGTTATTTTATGGTATGTGAATTATATTTCAGTAAAGATTTTTTTGGCTGGGCGCGGTGGCTCATGCCTGTAATCCCAGCACTTTGGGAGTCTGAGGCGGGTGGATCACGAGGTCAGGAGATCGAGACCATCTTGGCTAACACGGTGAAACCCAGTCTCTACTAAAAAAAATACAAAAAATTAGCCTGTAGTCCTAGCTACTCCGGAGGCTAAGGCAGGAGAATGGCGTGAACCCGGGAGGTGGAGCTGGCAGTGAGCTGAGATGGCACCACTGCACTCCAGCCTGGGGGACAAAGCGAGACTCCGTCTCAAAAAAAAAAAAAAAAAAATTTATTGTCATTTCCTCCACAGAATTAAATCAGCTTGGCCTGACTCATAGGGAAAAATACAGGGTGATATCACAAGCAGGATATTGACATTGATACAGTCAAGATGTAGAACAGTTCGGTCACCACAAGGATCTCTTACATTATCCTCTTATAGCCATAGGCACCTCTGGCCCCCTACCCCAGCCCCTGATCCCCGGCATCCACTAATCTGTTCTCCATTTCGACCATTTTATTTCAAGACTATAATATAAATGGAATCATACAGTATATGACGTTTTAGGACTGGCTTTTTCCCCCTCAGCATAATTCCCTGGAGATCTATCCAAGTTGTTGTATGTGTCAGTAGTTCCTTCCTTTTTCTTGCTGAGTAGTATTTTACGGTATAGATGGACCTACCACAGCCCGCTTCACCATTCATCCATTGAACGACATCTGTTATTTCGTTTGCACTGTTGCAAAAAAGCTGCTATGAATATTCATGTACAAGTTTTTGTGTAAATGTAAGTTTTCATTTCCCTGGGATAAATGCCCAAGAGTGTAACTGATGTGTTACATGGTAGTTGCATGTTTAGTTTTATAAAAAACTGCCAAATTGTTTTTAAGAGTGGTGGTTCCTGACCAGGCACAGTGGCTCACGCCTGTAATCCCAGCACTTTGGGAGGCCAAGGCAGGCAGATCACCTGAGGTCGGGAGTTCAAGACCAGCCTGACCAATATGGTGAAACCTCATCTCTACTAAAAATACAAAAATTAGCTGACCTGTGGTAGCATGTGCCTGTAATCCTAGCTACTCAGGAGGCTGAGACAGGAAAATTGCCTGAACCTGGGAGGTAGAGGTTGCAGTGAGTTGAGATAGGTCCACTGCGCTCCAGCCTGGGCCACAGAGGGAGACCCTGTCTCAAAAAAAAAAGAAAAAAAAAAAAAAAAACAGTGGTTCCATTTTGCATTCCCACCAGCAGTGTAGAAGTAATCCTGTCTGTCTCTCTACATCCTTACCAGCATTTGATGTTGTTACTATTGTGATTTTAGCCATTTTAACAGTTGTGTAGTAGTATCTCATTGTGGTTTTAATTCGCATTTATATAATGGCTAATGACTTTGAACATCTTTTCATGCACTAATTTGCCATCTGTATATCTTTCTTGGTGAAACAGCTCTGTGTCATTTGCCTATGTTCTAATTGGATTATTTTCTCCATTTTCTGTTTAATATTGGTAGTGTTTATGTATTCCAGACATTTTTATTTTATTTTATTTTTGCTATTCCTTGGAGAGCAGGGCTAACCCTATAGGCAGTGTGCTAGTAATTTGTTGGCTATGTGATTTGCAAGTATTTTCTCCTACTGTGTAGCTTTTCTTTTCATCCTCTTAACAGGGTCTTTCGCAGAGCAAAAATTCTTAATTTTAATGAGGTCCATTTATGTTTTTCCTTTTATGGACTGTGTTTTTGGTGTCAAGTCTAACTTTTGCCTTGCCCCAGTTCCCAAATATTTTCTCCAAAAAGTTTCATAGTTTTAAGTTCACGATCCAATGTGAGCTAATTTTTGTGTAAAACGCAAGGCTTAGGTTGGGGTTTGTTTTTGTCTTTTTACCTTTTGATATCCAATTACTCCAGTTCTATTGCTTTTACACCTCCATCAAAAATTGGTTTGCCATGTTTGCATGGGTCTATTTCTGGGTTTTCTATTTATTTCTATTGATTATTATATCCATTCTTCTGCCAATACCATTGTCTTGATTGCTGTATCTATATAGTTTGCTTTAATATTAAGCGACTTCAAGATTAAAGAATTCTACTGTAGTCCCAGCTACTTGGGAGGCTGAGGCAGGAGAATGGCGTGAACCCAGGAAGCAGAGCTTGCAGTGAGCCGAGGTTGCGCCACTGCACTCCAGCCTGGGTGACAGAGCGAGACTCCGTCTCAAAAAAATAATAAATAAATAAATAGAATTCTAGAGCTTGCACCTTTCCATATAAATTTTAGAATAAGCTTATTTATGTCTTTAAAAAAAACCCTAATTTGGTAGCAATTGCATTAAACCAAAAGATTAATCTGGGGGAGAATTGTCATTTTTACTATGTTGGGGCTTCCAGCTCAGGACTGTCTCTCCATTTATTAGCTCGTCTTTCATCTACAGTTTGTGATTTTCAGCATACAGCTACTATACATGGTTTCTTGAGTTTATGCCTAAGTATTAATTTTCTTTGAAGTGATTGTATTAAGTGATATTGTTTTATATATTTTTCCATGTGTTCATTGTTAGTTTATAGAAATGTGATTGATTTTTGTGTGTTGATCTTGTATGCTATGACCTTACCAAACTCACTAATTCCAGGTGAGTTTTTTCTTTCTTTTGTAGATTCTTTGATATTTTGTATGTAGATAACATGTTATCTACACAGGTGTTTTTCTTCCTTTCCAATCTGTATGCGTTTTCTTTCCTTTTCTTGCCTTATTGCAGGGCCTAGTACTTCTAGAACCATGTTGAATAGGATTAGTGAGAGCAGACACCCTGGCCTGGTTTCTGAACTTCATAGGGAAAACAGTCTTTCACTATGAAGTATGGTATCTGCTGTAGCTTTTTACCATGAAACATCTTAGTTTTGTTTTCTTTTTCTCTCCCCACCCCTTTTCTTTTTTTAAGAGGTTTAAGACTTAGGGATTGGCGCAAGTAAGATGACAAAGCTAAACGAGAGGCATTTTCAGGACTTCCTCTTTCAGGCCCGGCTTGCAAGAGCGCTAGGGCCAAGCTCCTTTCAGCCCTAATCGGTACTGGAGCTAATCGCATTCGCGGCGCCCGTGCACTCTGCAGGGATGGGCCGTGGGGCCAGGGACCTCAGTCCCCTCTCGGCCTGTCCTGCCCTTCCAGGAGGCTAGCGGCTGCTGGCCGCGCAGCCTGCCAACCTGAGTTGGCCATAGTAGAGTCTCAGATACCCAGCTCCTGAGCGGCCAGGGCCAGATTCAGGGTGTGTACGTTTTTGGCAGCGGCTCCCCAACCGAGAAGACACTCGGCTGCGAAGAGAGGACGCGAATTAAGAGTTCCATGCTGGAAAAAAAAAAATGGATAGCGACAAAGTGCATCTACAATACGTGTAGCCCACGGAACGATTTTTGTTAAGGGGGCCGAGGATGGGCAGTTACATCTAAAATTTGGAAAGGGAAGAGGAAAGCGAGAAAGGATCCCCTAGCTGGCGCCCCGGGGCGTTCTGCAGCCTCCAGCCCCTCTCCCCCTCCCCGCGCCGCGGAGCCCACACCTGCGCAGGTGGAGCCTGCCGAGCGCGGCCGCCGGTGCTGGGAAGGTGAGCGGCGCCGGGGGGCGGAGTGGGGGCGGGCCGCGGGCCTCTCCCAATGGCGGCACGGCGGGGAGGACGCGGGCCACGGCCGGAGGGGGGCGCCCCGGGCCCAGGCGCTGCCGCCCTCGAGCTCCCGGGTCCCTTCCCACGCTTCCTCCCGGGCGGGCCGTACCAAGGCGCGGGGGGGAGCGGCGCGTCCCACTCGCGGAGGGGCACGCGGGCCGCGGCCGCGCCACCTGCGGCGGCGGCGGCGGCCTCGGGCGGGTGGGGGCAGCGCTCCCGCTCCGCCCCCGGCCCCCGCTGCCCGCGTCCCCTGCCAGGCCCCTCCTCCCGGCGGCGCGGCAGAGCCAGGCCCCAGCGCTCGGCCGGCCGCGAGCCCGCCGGCCGGGGACGAGCGTCGCAGCTCATGCTGATCGCTGTCCTCCTCCTCCCCCTCAGGCGGCGCTGGCGGCGGCCCTGGGACCCGCGGAAGCCGGCATGCTGGAGAAGCTGGAGTTCGAGGACGAAGGTGAGTGCGCCCCGCCCGCTGCCGGCCCGGCGCTCCCACGGCCCGGCCGCCCGAGGACCGGGACCCGCGGGGACCCCGCGCCCCATCTCCGGCGCTGCCCCACGGCGAGCTGCGTCCTGCGGAAGCCCAGGGGCCGGGGCGGGAACCGGGGCGGGGATGCGGGCGCCGGCGAGCTCGGGCTGCGGGGTACCGGGCGTCCGCGGAGGGGACGCGAGCCAGGCTCCCAGAGCGCAGCCCTGAGCCCGGCATCCACACGGACGGGCGGCCCTTTTGTCCTTACTCGCCGAACTCGAATTACAGCAAGGTGTCAGGGAGCGCTAATTGTTTGTGCTTGTCACCATGCACTCGGAGGCAACCCCGAATCATACCCACAGTCCAGACCCTTTAATCATAGACTGGTGCCCTTATCTGCGCCTGTGAAGATATGACCGGTAGGGTGTGTCTTCTTTTTTAATGGGGAAAGTTAAATAGGAAAACCTGAAGAGGTTATTGAATCGGTGTTGAGTTCAGGCGACCCTCTCACTCCGTCATTTCTGTCGCCTCTCCTCTCACTTGGTTGTTTTTTTTCCCTCTCCTGTCTTCTTCTTGTATCTTACAGGTAAATAACTTGGATCTTATTTGGAGGCTGTTAACATTTGAAAGGCATGAGCTCGTTCTTTGGCAAAATTAATATTTAAAATGGAATGTGACGAGCTTTCACCAGGATCTTATTTTGAAGCTGTTAACATTTGAACGGGATGAGCTTGCTCTTACGCAAAATTAATATGTAAAATGAAATGTGATGAGCTCAGAGTCGGGAAAGAACTTTATATAAGATGCTTGACAATTCGAGGACTTGAAAAGGCGTTCACACTGTCTTGTGTGCTTCCATTATTTATTTAGCAACTTCTCTTTTTTCCAGGAGTATTGATAGAATAAAGCTCTCGAAACAAAGAACGTGCCATGTGGATGCTGTCCCTTGTGCCAACTTTACTTTAATACCTCTGTTCATTCACAGTCAGGCAATTACTTAAATAAGCCTGCACAGCCAGCATGGACGTGTTAACCCAATAGAATTAGCCGGGTGCCTGTTATCTTTGAGATTCACTGCAGCATTTCACAAACATGTTAGCTGGAAGAGAACGCGTTCATAGTCATTGTCATTAAAAGTGTTTGTCTGTATTTATTGGTAACAAATGGTGCATTTCAGAATTTTACCGGACTTAATTTGCATTTCATCCTACAGAAAAATAATCCAGGGTCTTCATTCGAACCCATCTCACTATTCCTCAGTTTTATTATATTGCAGGCCAAATCTTGGCCGCTGTCCACAGGGTGGAATGGTGTGCCCGTTCCATAAGACTTTGAATGTCTAAATCACCAGGGTTTTGTCTCTTATATTAGTAAGAATGAGAGTCTTTTACAGTTACAATTTTTGCAAATTAGCAGGGAGGCAAGAAGAACTAGAGAGCAGCTTCTGTTCGAGAGGAATCGCTACTACTTATTTAGCTGTGTGACCTTGGACAAGTTACTTAACCTCTCTGTGCCTTGGTTTTCTCATTTCTAAAATAGAGCTAATATCAGGTGTTTTGAGGATTAAATGAGCCAATCCGTATCATGGCATTTAAAAACAGTGTAAACCCATAGTGAGTACTTCATAAATGTTAGTTACTATTATCGCTTAAGTGCCATTAAGCATTGTACTGAATTCATGAGCTTTTTAAGATTTTTATTAATGAAACCCAACACAGAGATTCTTCTCAACACAGATTTGGTGTCCTGTCCCTTTTCTTCTTCTTACTTGAGATTTATTAATTTAATTATGCATTTCTCTAAGCAGATATACACTCTTTTTTTTCTTTTCATTGTGTCTGCCAATGTAATGAATGTAAAGTATTAAACCTAAGTGTCTAAGAGAGGAATTTCCCCTCTTCACCCATCTATTTTTATCTATATTGCTGTCATTCCTTTAAAGCACACCGAATCCCACGAATAACCCTGTCAAACTTTTCTAGATTCTTAAGGAGGCAGAATGTTAAACAGTGACTTTGAGGCTGAGCTGAGCTGGAAGAAAGAACAGTGTTGGCGTGGTAGTCCAAATGCAGCTTTGTTTCTTTTGAACTTTAAATTGCTTATTCATCCAAAATACAGGAAAATTGAATATCAAGCAGAATCTCACACTTATTTAGCAGGGACAAAAGTCCCAGCAGTAAGACATTACACCTCTAAATATCCTACATAATAGGGAGCCCTTGACGAGATCCTCATTTCATCTTTCAGCATCCAGCATACCCTGTTAACGTCTTCATGTATGCATTGATGTCTAGAGGCATTGCTTCAACCGAGATATATTCGCTGTACGTGGAAACACATGATTACTCATATTTTCATTACCAAGATTTTTCTATTTCCTAATAAGTTATAACTGATACTATATTTGTTAGAAACATCTTGGAAGCACTGGTGAGGTTAGGAAGAAAGATTGAGTTCTACCCTGCCTAGTTGGGTCGTCTTTGGCCTGGGTTATGACAGGAGCTGCCATCCCTTTTCTGCTGTCAACCCTTCTTACCACGACAAGAGGGACATGGTACGGGTGGGTTTGATGGCCTCACTCCTCTATGGGAAGGTCTTGACCACGTTCCTCTGTCCGTATATCCGACAGGTGCAGACTTCTCTTACTCCGCAGGCTCAGTGCCCCTCCCTCTCTGTGCATAAGAATAGCCACAGATCTTTTTGAAAGGCAGATTCCAGTTCTCTAGGTCTGGGGTGGGACTTGCCTAGCACAGGGGCCGCTCCTGCTGCCGGTTCACAGACCCCTCTTGGAATAACAGGACATGGGCCGGCCAACTTTTTCTGTAAAGGGTCAGATAGTAAATATTTTAGCCTTTGCGGGTGTTATGGTCTCAGTTTCTGTCACAACCACTCAATTTGCCCTTGTAGCAAGAAAGCAGAAAGCAGCTAACACAATCCAAGGGGCGGGGCTCGGCTCCAGTAAAACTTCTTTACCAAAACCCAGATTTGGCCCTCAGGCATAGTGTGCCAGCCCCCTGCTCTGTGTCTCCCTCACTGTGCCTGTGCCTTAGGGGGTGGCACGTGATGAGGGCTGCATGCTTTCCATGCCACACCGATCTTAGTAAGACTTCAAGGCTCAGCTCAAGTCTCATCTGGTCTCCGAGGCCTTCTCTGAATACCCTCTGTACTTCTCTGGCATTCACCTTTCTCTCCCCCGTGCCTGCTACCACAGCTGGCACATAGCAAGTTCTCAGCAGTGCTTTGGATCTCAATGATTTCATTAAGTGTTTGTAGTTACTTTGTGGGCATATTGGGGGAGGAAATGATTTTGTGTATGAGAAGCCTTGCCCATAGCAATTTTTCCCTCCCTCCCTCCCTCAGGGTCTCACTCTTACCTGGGGTGAAGTACAGTGATGCGATCTCAGCTCACTGCAGCCTCAACCTCCTGGGCTCAAGTGGTGCTTCCGCCTCCCAAGTAGCTGGGACTACAGGCGCATGCCACCATGCCTGGCTAATTTTTGTACTTTAGTAGAGATGGGGTTTCACTATGATGGCCAAGCTGGTCTCAAACTCCTGGGCTCAAGTGATCTGCCGGCTGCAGTCTCCCTAACTACTGGGACCTACAGGCATGAACCACGGTGCCCAGCCAGCAATCCCTTTCTGTGTTTGCTTTTTACATTTGTAATTGTTACACCGACCACGTCTTTGCTGTGTTTGTGTTTATCTATATTAACTGCCTTGAACTAACTTACTGGCCAGGACCAAGCACAAAGTACTTTGTAAGCACCTAAACACAACTCATGAATGCTTTTTGAAGTAGGTAATTATTCAGCAGTTTTATCCGTGATTAATAAACCTGCTCTACTCTGGTACCACTTCATGAAGTCTGCAGCCTCTTTAGAGCGGTCCGCATTCTCTCCCAGCTGCCGGAGGAGCTGGGCTCTTTCAAGTTTTTGATAACTTGCTGTGGTGATTTTACCCGCTTCTTAGCAGAGAGTGTCTTGCCAGACTGACTGTCTCTCCTCTTCCTCCTCATTTGCCGCTTATTTCATCCCAGTTCAGCCATTCTGTCCTATTCTTCTTCACTTGCAAAGATTTTCCAAAGTAGAATCCAGGCCGGGCGTGGCGGCTCACCATTGTAATCCCAGCACTTTGGGAGGCAGAGGCAGGAAGATTGCTTAAGGCCAGGAGTTCAAGACCAGCCTGGGAAACATGGTGAGACCCCGTCTTTATAAAAAATTTTAAAAATTAGCTAGGCATGGTGGTGCACGCCTGTGGTTCCGGCTACTTGGGAGGCTGAGGTGGGAGGATCACCCGAGCGCATGTGGTTGCACCACTGTACTTCAGCCTGGAGTAATTTCATGTCTCCAAAAAACAAAAACAAAATGACAACAACGAAATAGAATCTTCTTTCCAGAACGTGCCTCAATCTTGCTTTATTTTTCTCTCTTTTTATTTTTGTCTCGCTCTGTTGCCCAGGCTGGAGTGCAGTGGTACAATCTCGGTTCACGGCAACCTCTGCCTCCCAGGCTCAAGTAATTCTCATGCCTCAGCCTCCTGAGTAGCTAGGATTACAGGCATGCACCAGCATGCCTGGCTAATTTTTGTATTTTTAGTAGAGATGGGGTTTCACCATGGTGCCCAGGCTGGTCTCGAACTCCTGGCCTCAAGCGATCTGCCTGCCTCGGCCTCCCAAAGTGCTGGGATTATAGGTGTGAGCCACTGCACCCAGCCAATCTTGCTTGTTTCTAGCAAAACTGGTCAGCCTCACCTACAGTGATCAAAATAGGTAAAAGTAGGGGCCACTTTTCGTAGGAGGGAAAGAAAGCATTGTCTTTCAGTGAGGCATCTCGGGATTCAGGCCCAGATCTGTGATGAAGGGCCTGTATTTCCTTGGACAACCCGTGAGGCCTCTCCGGGCTTTGTTTTGTTGTTATTGCTGTCGTTAAGAGTTTTCTCTATAAAACCAGGGGGCCGGCACTTGGTGATCTTTTGCTTTTTCTCTCTCGCTTAAAAATCAGACCCCAAAGCAACCAATAATCACTCTTTACAAATAAACAAAACAAAAATGTGTGTTCACTCAAAACTCATTCATTCTCAACTGGAGTGAGTAACACCCTGAGTAAGTGAAGATCGGTTCTTGTTGGGAGACAAAAAAATTGCAGCTGTTACAGTGGATTTTGGCCACCCAAAGGGCCACGGCACATGAACAAATACACAGTATATCTGTGCTATTAAAATGTCGTGGGGGTAGGACAGTTGGGGGAGAATGTATAAAAAAGACTCAGGGAGGGGAGTATAATGAAAACAAGGCTTAGAAGCTGCTGGAACTTGCTTAAGGGAGAATTGCCTCCCTGTGTATTTGTGGTCATCTATTGAATTATTCCCTTGTCCCTTGACTCTCACAGCCAAGCGTCAACTTGCAGGTTTCTTGACTCTACTGCGGGGCACTGACCTCTGCTGGTGGAGATATCAAAGTGGCAGGTGTGTGGGCACAGTCTGGTACTTGTCGATCATTACTTAGGGCACGAGAAGGCTCGGGTGATTATCTGCTTTCCAAACTCTACCCTTCCCTGCTGAGTTCACACACTCCTCGTAGATAAGAGACTTATTGTTTCTGGATTATGAGTAGTTACAATTGTATGAAATCCCTGTAATTAAAGTTGTTCCTCTGGAGCTGGCGCCATATGTAACATATTGCCCTATTCTGTAGGGTCTAGGTACACATTTCAGTATCTCTGAAGTCAGGACGTGACTTCACATTTGGTGGTGTCTCCGACTTGGTGAGGTAGGGTTGTTGTCTTGGAGTAGATAGAGGTTTTGTCACCGGAAGATCCCTGACTAGTTTAAGCAGAGGACAATGCTGGGAGGATTCGGGGGTATTGGTAAGTGGGACTCGTCACCAGTCTTCGCAAGTAACTGGAACCAGCTGGAAAGTCATCAGGGCCCAGGGCATTGAGCACCTCTGGCCATTGCTCTAGGGCCATGTGACCTCCCATCTCAGAACTTTCTCTGCTTCCTGGTGGATGTGTTGAAGAATGGCCTCTTGGCCCTACAGCTGTTCAGCTCCAACCCCACAGCCAGCTGTGCTGAGTCCTTACCCATGCTTCGGACCCCTGTGATATAACTCACATCCCATACGATTCCCCTCCCTCCTGGAGCACTGGATATGGGCTTCTCGCTGCCCTGTCTGAGGCCTACATCTCATCCTGTGCCTTCAGCCTGGAGGTCGTGCCCTCCTCCACGGCTCAGATTCCCCTGACACTGATCTCTCTGTGCCCATCTCCTTCCTTCCCCTTCCTTCTTCGGTTTGTTTTCTTTCTTTTTAACCAGCCTGATTCCATAAATGCCCGCATCCTCCCAGCTGTTTTAACAGGAAAGCTGCTTGACTCCAGGTCCAAGAGAACAGCTCCTTGCTGCTGCTTCCGGCTTGTTCACCTCTCTCCCTCACTCCCGGCCAGTGTCATCTTCCTATGGACCGTTCCAGCAGCCAAGCTCTCCCAGCACCTGCTCTGCCCCCTCCAATTAATTTGCCATGCTGCTGTTGGAGATATTTCCTTCAAACATATTTCTAATCCCATCGCTTTCATTTCTAAAGCCTCCGGTACTTTTCCTTTGCCTGTAGGAGTCCGCACTTCCCGGCACGCCCTCCTTGCCCCCTTCTCCTCCCTCCCCAGCCTCACCTGGTGCCTCTTTCCTCCCTGCATTTCCCTCCAGCTACTCTGGCCTTCATCAGCTTCCTCAAACTGCCTTGCTCCTCCAGGCCTGCCAGACTTTACACAGACAGCTCCTGCTCCTTGAATCATTCCTTCCTCTCCTTTGGCCACCTGCTCGTTTTCTCCAAGTCTCAGGTTAGATGTCGCTTCCTCAGGGAAGCCTTCCCAGAAGCCCCGATGAAGACTTCCCATGCTATCTCATGATCCCTCACAATTGATAGGTGCTGTTAGGGGGACGCACTTCTTTGTGTTTCCCAGTAGCCCCTCCCATTTATTTGCCATTACATTGTAAGCTCTGTGAGGATGGAGACTGAAATCTTAATATTTGCCAGGTCTTGAGGCCACTGGGATGAGTGAAACTTGGTTTTCAGTAAACATTTGTCACACAAATGAACGTATGTATTTTGGAGCTTATGCTTTTACTGTGGCACCTAGGCTTGCCATACTTCAGGTGGTCAATGTTATTTCTTACAAAGACATAAGGCATTTCTATTTGAGGCATTGGAGAAATGAGAGGAATTGCATTTGCCATGTTGATGGTGCGCTAATCAAAGAGCAGTGAGGGCGGAGCAACGGAGGAAGTGAAATGACTGAGTGAACCCTGGAGGTGTGAAAGGCTTCTCCACCCGACGGTGGGTGACATCAGGGCTTGTGACGTTTGCAGTTGAATAACTGAAGGCAGTAGCAAGTGGGTAGAGTGGGATGGCTCGCCTGCGGAATCTGGCATCCGAGGAAATCGCCTTGACACCTTCCTTTCATGGCCGTGATTACACTTGTGCTAAGGTTAGGGGGAACAGAGCCAGGTTCATCTCTGATATGAAAAGGGAAGAGCGATTTTGGGGGAAGGGAACTAGTCTGGGAACCTTTTGGCTAAATTTTAGTCACTTTTTAATCTGTTTAATATGCTGCCACGGCCGGGTGCTGTGGCTCACCCCGTAATCCCAGCACTTTGGGAGGCCAAGGTGGATGGATCATTTGAGTCCAGGAGTTCGAGATCGGCCTGGGCAACATGGCGAAACCCTCTCTCTATAAAAATAAATAAATAATACAGAAAATTAGCCAGACATGGGAGGTGAGTCCCATGCCTCCTGAGTCCAGGAGGTTGAGGCTGTGCTGAACCATGAGGGCATCACTGCATTCTAGCTGGGGCAACAGAGCAAGACCTTATCTGAAAAAAAAAATATATATATATGTACACACACACACACACACACACACACACACGCTGCCTTCTGTCCCACTTGGAGCTGTTTCCCATGTATCTGAATTTATATAACATCAATGAGGTTTCTGAACATCATGCTAACTGATTCATTTTATTTTAGGTTGTACTTTGGTCATTTGTAACTGACAGGAAGTTGCTAGCAATAAGTTGTTATTTTATGAATCATTTTCCACATTTTCTTGGAAGTGGAATGTTTCATTGTTCCGTCAAGACCTCCTCCCCAGTACACACATGCGCATTGTAAGACGCTTATTTACCCTCTTTCCTTGGCTCTCAGTCTTCACGTTGACTTCTCTAGCTTTGAAGCTTATACATACATACGATGTAACCCCCCTTTTTTTAATGCATGTGTAATTAGAGCCATAGCAATTAAGAGCATGAGTCAGATTCACCTTAGAGTCTCATTTCTTCTACTTAATAACTGTGAGAACTTTAGTAAGTTTCTTAAAGCTTTGGTTTCTTCATATGTAACTTGGAAATAATAATAGTACCTAGCCAGGAGGATTATATGTGGATTAAATAACATGGGCATGATATCCACTAGAGCAGGGGTCCCCAACCCCCTAGCCACAGACCACTACTGTTAGGAATCGGCCCACACGGCAGGTGAGCAGCAGGCGAGCGAGCATTACCTCCCGAGCTCCGCCTCCTATCAGATCAACAGCAGCATTAGATTCTCATAGGAGCGCGAACCCTATTGTGAACTGCACAAGCAAGGGATCTAGGTTGCACACTCTTTATGAGCTTTTTTTTTTTTTTTTTTTTTTTTTTTTGAGACAGAGTCTTGCTCTGTTGCCCAGGCTGGAGTGCAGTGGCGCAATCTCGGCTCACTGCAAGCTCCACCTCCCAGGTTCCAGCGATTCTCCTGCCTCAGCCTCTCAAGTAACTGGGATTACAGACACTTGCCACCATGCCCAACCAATTTTTGTATTTTTGTAGAGACGGGGTTTTACCATGTTGGCCAGGCTGGTCTCAAACTCCTGACCTCGTGATCTGCCTGCCTCAGCCTCCCAAAGTGCTGGGATTACAGGCGTGAGCCACCGTGCCCAGCCTTCCTTATGAGACTCTAACTCATGCCAAATGATCTGAGGTGGAACAATTTCATGCTGAAACCATCCCCCTGCTCCCCCATCCATGGAAAAATTGTCTTCCATGAAACTGGTCCCTCCCAAAAAGGTTGGGGACCACTGCATTAGAGGGCCTGGGATGTAGTATGGGGACCGCTGCATTAGAGGGCCTGGGATGTAGTACAGTCTCCATCAGCAGTAACTGCGATGATGACTAGGAAGACAAGAAGAAACCGAGCAAAAATTTAAAGTGATTCCAGCGATTCTGTTCTTCTGCACTGTCAGACTTTGCCCCATGTGGACACAGGTATGTATGCCACATATAGTTGGCAGCTTTTGCGATTGGATGTTTGTGCTTATCCCTGTTCCTGAGAAATGCTCTCAGGAAAGATGGTGTGTCACCATTTTACAAATGAAGAAATTCAGGCTCAAGGGTATCAATTTGTTCAAGCTCACAAGAAAGGCAGTAACAATTCTGACCTAGGGTTGGTCTAGATGCTTCTGTCTTCTCCATTGCCTCCCATTTGAACTGGGAGTACCTTGAGTAGTCCCCATTGGTGAACACTGGCTTGCTACCTGACATCTTCTATTGGTGACTTATTGTAATGGCTCTGCCAATGGTTTTTTTGTGTTTTGATTTGCAGTAGTAATTCTTGTCAGTGCTGTCACACAGTGTAAAAACAATGGCACGCCATAGTAGAAACTGTCAGAGGACGCACAACAGAAAGATCCATTATATTGCAAAACCCCAAAGAGGTGCACACATTTATGGACGTATGTGTAATCTCTGCGAAACTCCAGTGTTTCATTGTGAGTTAGGATAGCCTTTTGTCAGAGTCTCAAACTTCAGGACACTTGCGGGGACTTGGATGAAGTGCCCATCTTGAATTCATCAGAATGAATTCACCAAATTGCTCTGCCACTCTTGTGACTCAGCGGTTTGCTGAATATATTCACTTACCTCTCTTCCCTCCTAAAGTCTACTGAAATGACATAGATCAGTGAAATCAACTACAAAGGTAGTCATGCTTAATAAAAACAAAAACTTAGTTCTTGGATAAGTCAGTAAAGTGGATAAACCTTTGTCAAGTCTGTTCAGGAAAAAATGGGAGAAAATGCAAAGCTTTAGAAAGAAGAGAAGCTTCTTAACTATAAATGCAGAGATCTTTAAAAGTAACGTTGATCAAAGCACACCGGCCGGGCATGGTGGTTCACGCCTGTAATCCCAGCACTTCGGGAGACTGAAGTGGGAGGATCCCTTGAGCCCAGCAGTTCAAGACCAGCCTGGGCACCATGGCGAAACCCCATCTCAACAAAAAAAATACAAAAACTATCCGGGTGTGGTGGTGCACGCCTGTGGTCCCAACTACTTGGGAGGCTGAGATAGGAGGATTGCTTGAGCCTGGGAGGTGGAGGTGGCAGAGAGCCAGGATCACACCACTGCACTCCAGCCTGGGCAACAGAGATGGTACACTTTAAATTGGCGAACCTGTGAATGTGAATTATATCTCAAACTATTTTTGTTGGTTTTTTGTTTTGTTTTGTTTTGTTTTGTGACAGGGTCTCACTCTGTCACCCAGGTTGGTCTGCAACTCCTAGGCTCAAGCCATCCTTCCACATCAGCCTCCCGAAGTGCTGAGATTACAGGCGTGAGCTATTGCACCCAGCCCCAACAAAGCTATTTTTTAAATAAGATAATGAAAGGTCTTATTCCTCTTCTGCTACA
Organism: Homo sapiens; assembly: GCF_000001405.40. Classification (NCBI taxonomy): domain Eukaryota; kingdom Metazoa; phylum Chordata; class Mammalia; order Primates; family Hominidae; genus Homo; species Homo sapiens. Next base: position 151,621,343 of record NC_000007.14, on the reverse strand, counting down.
GAAGAGCATACCATTCTATTCAGCCTGTTTATGGATGAATTCTGTAAAACTTTTCAGGAACAGTTAATGCCTTATTTAAATTATTTTAGAACATAGGAAAATATGGAGCACTTCCCAGCTCCTTCCGTAAGGCTAGCTTGATCTTGAAATCAAAGCCAGAGGAAGATAGCACACAAAGAAGAAAACAAGCGATCAGTCTTACATTTAAAATGTGGCCAAAGCTCCTAAACAAACACTAGCTATGCAGGATTAAAAGCCGAATATATTGTGGTCAAGTAAGGTTTATCTTAGAAATGCAAGTATTCTTCTGTTGATTAAGAAATCTAGGCTGGGCAAGGTAGCTCTTGCCGGTAATCCCAGGCCTTTGGGAGGCCAAGGTGGGCGGCTCAGGTAATCCCAGCCCTTTGGGAAGTCAAGATGGGTGGATCGGGTAATCCCAGGCCTTTGGGAAGCCAAGGTGGGTGAATCACTTGAGCCCAGGAGTTCGAGACCAACCTGGGCAACATGACAAAACCCCATCTTTAATTTTTTTAATTAAAAAAAAATTTTTTTAATCTATTAAGGAGCTGGATGTGGTGGCTAACACCTGTAATCCCAACACTTTGGGAGGCCAAGGTGGAAGGATCACTTGAAGCCAGGAGTTCAAGACCAGCCTGGACAACATAGCGAGACTCCCATCTCTACAAACAATAAAAAAAATTAGCCAGGTATGGTAGCGGATGCCTGTAGTCCCAGCCACTCAGGAGGCTGAGACAGGAGGATTGCTTGAGCCTGGCCATTTGAGGTTGCAGTGAGCAGTGATCATGCCACTGCACTCTAGCCTGGGCAACAGAGTGAGACCTTATCTCAAAAAAAAAACAAAACAAAAAAACAAAGCCATCTATTGAGAAATCTAGTCCCAGCTTCTTGGGAGGCCATGGTAGGAGGATCTCTTGAGCCCAGGAGTTTGAGGCCAGTCTGGGCAACATAATGTGATCCTATCTCTAAAGAAAGAAAGAAAGAATGAGAGAGAGAAAGAAAAAGAAGAAATTGCCTAAGGAATTAATGTTGTTGATAAAGGAGAGAAACTGGTAGTCATCTCAGTAGATACTGAAATAGCAATTAATAAAATTCAACATATGTTCCTTTTTAAAAATCGTTAATAAACCAGGGATATGAGGAAACTTCTTTAAGTAGCTAAAAGTATACCTCATGACAGCCAGCGGGGGCAGCAGCTGTATAATTCCTGGTGCAGGTTGAGTCTCCCAAATGCGTGGAACTGGAAATGTTTAGGTTTTCTGATTTATTTATTTATTTTTATTTTTATTTTTATTTTTTATTTTTGAGACGGAGTCTCGCTCTGTCACCCAGGCTAGAGTACAGTGGCGCGATCTCGGCTCACTGCAACCTCTGCCTCCTGGATTCAAGTGATTCTCCTGCCTCAGCCTCCCGAGTAGCTGGGATTACAGGCATGCGCCACCATGCCCAGCTAATTTTTGTATTTTTAGTAGAGATGGGGTTTCGCCATGTTGGCCAGGCTGGTCTTGAACTCCTGACCTCAGGTGATCCTCCCACCTCGGCCCCTCCAAAGTGCTAGGATTTCACAGGCATGAGCCACCGCGTCTAGCCGGTTTTCTGATTTTTTTCAGATTTTGGAATATTTGCATATACATAATGAGATATCTTGGGGATGAGGACTCAATTTTAAACACGAAATTCATGTTTCATATATACCTTATATACATAGTCTGAAGTTATTTTATACAATTTTTTAATAACTTTGTGCATGAAACAAAGTTTGTACAGATTGAACCATCAGAAAGCAAAGGTGCCACTGTCTCAGCCACCCTTGTGGACAGTCTGGCATCACCATCGTTCCTGACTCTGTATTTCTATGCTACTGATAAATACAGTGAAAAACCGATGTGTTCAGGGTAACTTATGGCATTGTGTTGGCACTCGGAAAGTTTTGCATTTTGGAGCATTTGGGATTTTACGTTTTTGGATTATGGATGCTCCACTGTACCTGCCAAGGTGGGTCTCACTCTTCTGGCCTGGCTGGTGCTTGCTGCTTCATCCCTGTGAGCTCTCCTTGGCCATCACCGTTCTCCAGCTTCATCACTGGGTTTTCTTCCCTGAGAAAGGAATCATTGGCTGTGGTAGATGCTTTAATTATGTATTAATAGTTCCTAGAATTCTATGCAAAACCATTTTAAAATTCTGACAGGAGCCACATACAATTTCAAGGTCATTGCTTTGTCCGTGACTTTCCTTAGGCATCGATTGCAACTCACTTTGAACTAATTGGGCAAACTCTGCCTTGATCCTGCCTGTGCTTTTTCTTCTTTCCTAATAACTCTTTTACTGCCCCCTTATTTAGAAGAGTGTGTGCATTTTCTCGCCCGTGTACACATTTGCCCCCACACACAAAACCAAATGCAAAAAGCATGGAAAGGGGAAAAAAAGTAACAGACTTCATTTATTCTGCCACCTTATAATTGTAAATCCTGTAAAATTATGTTTAAGATTTGCCTTTGTTTCTGTTCATGTTTCTAGGCACTTTAGAAAAACTTAGGGGTTTTTATTTTATTTTATTTTTTGAGACGGAATCTCTCTCTGTCGTCCAGGCTAGAGTGCAATGGTGCGATCTCAGCTCACTGCAAACCCCGCCTCCTAGGTTCAAGCAATTCTCCTGCCTCAGCCTCCCAAGTAGCTGGGATTACAGGTGCCCACCACCATGCCTGGCTGATTTTTGTATTTTTAGTAGAGACGGGGTTTCACCATGTTGACCAGGCTGGTTTCAAACTCCCGACCTCAAATGACCCACCTGCTTCGGCCTCCCAAAGTGCTGGGATTACAGGCATGAGCCACCACCACACCCGGCCTATTTTATTTTATTTTATTTTATTTTGAGACGGAGTCTTGCTCTTATTGCCCAGGCTAGAGTGCAGTGGCATGATCTCGGCTGACTGCAGCCTCCGCCTCCTCGGTTCAAGCGATTCTCCTGCCTCAGGCTCCTGAGTAGCTGGGATTACAGGCACCCACCACCATGCCCGGCTAATTTTTGTACTTTTAGTAGAGATGGGGTTTCGCCATGTTGGCCAGGCTGATCTCGAACTCCTGACCTCAAGTGATCTGCCTGCCTCGGCCTCCCAAAGTGTTGGAATTACAGGCATGAGCCACCACGCCCGACCTTATTTTTTTAAATAGAGATGAGGTTTTACTGTGTTGCCTAGGCTGGTCTTGAACTCCTGAGCTCAAGCGATTCTCCCATCTTTGCCTCTCAAAGTACTAGGATTACAGCCATGAGCCACCGCACCCAGCCAACTTATGAGTTTAATTTTTTCTCTTCCATATACTTTTGACTGTCACATTCCTCTTCTTTGCTTATTTCTTACTCAGATATTTTTTAACAGTTTTCTAAAAAGAGAAAACACTATATAAATATAGTAAACTTGTATTTCTAAATGCAGAATAAAGTATAAAAGATACATTTTAACACTGATAATTTTTTGTGGAATTATAATGAAATTCAGCATATTAAGTTAAAATTGTGAATAAGGAGTCAGGGTTTTTTTCGGTTTGGGGAGTTTTTAAGTGAAGTTTGGGACAGTGTAAATTTTGTTTTAAAATGCATTTCATTCTTATACACTTAGTCTTTAAGACAAGTTTTGAATATGTTACTATGACCTGTGATTAATGAATATGGGGGTTTTTTTCTGTTAACATGATTATTTTAAAAAAACTCAACAATGCTATTAACAACAATAATAAAAGTATTCTAATATTATGTAACAACAAAGAATGTCCTTGCATAAGATGATGATATTTTTTGTTTCAAAATTGTATTATGAAAATTTCCAAACATATGAAATGGTAGAGAGAATGGTTCAATGCATTCCAAATAGCCACCATCCACCTTCAATGCATCAATTCCTGAGACAGCCTTGTTTCATCAACACCCTCACCCACTTCCCCACACTCGGATTATTTGCAGGTGAATCCCGGGTCTAGTGACGCCTTGGTGCTACACGAAGCAATGTGCCCTCCCTCTCTCCCTCCCTCCCTCCCCCCCTCCCTCTTTCCCTCCCTCCCTCCTTCCCTCGCTCCTTCCCTTGCTCTTGTTGCCAGACTGGAGTGCAACAGCGTGATCTTGGCTCACTGCAACCTCCGCCTCCAGGTTCAAGTGATTCTCCTACCTCAGCCTCCCCAAATAGCTTGGATTACAGGCACCCACCACCAAGCCCGGCTAATTTTGTATTCTTTTAGTAGAGACAGGGTTTCTCCACGTTGGTCAGGCTGGTCTTGTACTCTTGACCTCAGGCGATCTGCCAACCTCGGCCTCCCAAAGTGCTGGGATTTGAGGCGTGAGCCCCCGCGCCCGGCCTAGTAGTGTGCGTTTCTAAAGGCCCTTGGCGATCTGGTCCTGAGTAACTTTCCTGTCGCATCTCCAGCCATATCCCATGAGTGCTAGACTCCAGCTGTTTCAGGCTAAGATACGGCTACATCATTTTTCAAACATGCCATGTTCTTTGGGACCTCTGTCTTTGTATATGCTATTACGTCTTCCTAGAATGTTTCTTCTTCTCTTCTCTCTCAAACACTTCTTCTTTCAGGATCCAGCTCACATCCCCTTGGCCGTGAAGGCTCCTCTGGCTCCTCCTGTGTATGTTCCTTTAGCACTTTGCAGTACTTCACCCACAGTGCTTATCACACTGCACAGTCCAAACACTCCTGCAGGGCGGGGACCAGCCTGCCACGGGGCAGTGTTTGGTGTGTCTCCTGGGTCCTGCAGAAGCAATCTGCCTTCTTCAAGGGTCTGTGGATTCTCTCAGCTTTCCTGGCCTATTCCTGCAGTAGTTCTGGAAGACAGGTTCATGATGCAAGTTGCCACACGCTGCTCTGTCCGTCTGAGTGGGAGCTGCATTCCAGTCCTGCTTCCTATCCACTATTTTCCCTTGAATATGTGTTTTAAAATATAATAGTCAGTGGTCGTGATAAAAGAGAGAGGGGTTTAACTTGGTATCAGGTGTATGAGTGTGTGTGCATGTGTGTGTGTGCCTGTGTGCATATGTGCATGTGTGCATGCATGTGCACCTGCTTCCTCCCGCCCTCGTTGCCTGCCTGGCCAAGCAGAGCCTCTCTCTGGTGGTAGCTGGACAGCAGCTCCAAAAGCCCACCCTGAGGAGAAGCCACTGCACCCTCCAAGGCACACATGCATTCCGCCTTTGCTTCACGCCCCCACCACCCACAGCACTGTTAAAATGAACCCTCTGACCAGTGGCAAAATTTGCTTGCCAAGGAGGACGTCAGTAATTGACTAAGTCAGGGCCCCACAACTACAGGAGCTGGTGTGGGTGAGCAGTTACTCTCTTCTGTACACAGAGGCTCTAATCATGCTTTGTGTTTATACTGCCGGTGTGCAAATGGTAGACCAGGGCATTTGGCTTGCAGCAGGCAGAGTTCCCAGTGGTGTTGAAGGTGCAGCAACATCATTAGAGAATCAAGGGTTTTGATTTGCATTTCTCTAATGAGCAGTAGTGTTGAGCTTTTTTTCATATTCTTGTTAGCCATGTGTATGTCTTCTTTTGAAAAATGTCCATTCATGTCCTTTGCCCACTTTTTAATTGGGTTGTTTGATTTTTTCTTGTCAATTTGTTTAAGTTCCTTATTGATCCTGGATATTGGACCTTTGTTGGATGCATCCTTTGTAAATATTTTCTCCCATTCTGTAGGTTGTCTCTTCACTCTGTTGATAGTTTATTTTGCCGTGCAGAAGCTCTTAAGTTTACTTAGATCCCACTTGTCAATTTTTGCCTTTGTTGCAATTGCTTTTGGCATCTTCATCACGAAATCTGTGCCCATTTGTATGTCCAGAATGGTATTTCCTAGGTCATCTTCCAGGTTATTATAATTTTCAATTTTACATTTAAGTCTTTAATCCTGCCATTTGACCTAGCAATCCCATTACCGGGTGGATACCCAAAGGAATATAAATTGTTCTACCATAAAGGCACATGCATGTGTATGTCCATTGCAGCACTATTCACAATAGCAAAGACATGGAATCAAACTAAATGCCCATCAGTGGTGGATTGGATAAAGAAAATGTGGTACATATACACCATGGAATACTATATAGGCATAAAAAAGAATGAGATCATGCCCTTTCCAGGAACATGGGTGGAGCTGGAAGCCATTGTCTTTAGCAAACTAATGCAGGAACAAAAAACAGCTCCTTTCTCGGGGTTCTCTCTGGATCTGCACAGCTCCTCTCTGGGGGTTCCCTCTGGATCCACACGGCTTCTGTCTCGAGGTTCCCTCTGGATCCACACGGCTTCTGTCTCGGGGTTCCCTCTGGATCCACACGGCTCCTCTCTCGAGGTTCCCTCTGGATCCATACGGCTCCTCTCTCGAGGTTCCCTCTAGATCCACACGGCTCCTCTCTCGAGGTTCCCTCTGGATCCACATGGCCCCTTTGAGGCTCTTTTGTTCCAGTGTAAAGGTGAGGAGACTGGGGCTGAGAGCCCAGTGCCAAGTGATCAGTGGTCGGCAAGGAGTTTGCAGAAAAGCCATTGTGATTAGTGCCAGGTGGTTGCTGGTGATGGGGACTCAGAAGGCCCAGGTGGAGTCCCATTCCATGGTGCTGAACTGGAGCGGTCCTGGCAAAGTGGGCTTAGGGCCACAGATCATCACTGCGAGCTGTTTGCTCTGAAAGAAAGGCAGTGGAGTGGAGTGAACCACCACAAGGTCAAGTGGAGATGGGGAGAGAGAGCGGGAAGCAAGCTGGTGAGGGGCGGAGGTGAAGGAGAGCACGCAGGGATGGGACGGAGAGTCACGATGGAGGGAGCAGGGTCTCAGAGACGTCCACTGACTGCTCTGCCTCTTTTCTCCTCTGACTGAGCGTCCACGCAGCCCTGATTTTTTCAGCCTCCTGTGTGAGCCCCTGTGTGGCTTCTGGTCACCTCCAGGATAAAGTAGTACAGAGCACATGCCAAGCGCCCAACGTAACCGACCCCATGGCCTCCCTGCCACCCTGCTGCTGCTCCCCCATCGCCATGGGGTGCCAGCCCCTGCCCCATGTCCCCTGCGAGCTCCTGAGGATACCCTCAGATCTGAGGGGCTCAGGCCTCTGCCTGGAATCCCTTTTCCTGCCTTCAAGACACAGCTGGAGACAGCGTCACCTCCCCTGACAGGCCGTGTTGGAGTGCTGGCTGGGGCGCTCAGCATAGCCGTGGGAACGGGGCACCTCCTGGTCGGCTCCAGTGAGACCAGAGAGTTGGTCACTGGAGCGGGGGTGTCTGAGTTGGAGGTAAGGTGGATCACCTGAGGTCAGAAGTTCGAGACCAGCCTGACCAACATAGCGAAAGCCTGTCTCTACCAAAAATATGAAACTTAGCCAGGGGTGGTGGTGTGCGCCTGTAATCCCAGCTACTTGGGAGGCTGAGGCAGGAGAATCGCTTGAACCCGGGAGATAGAGGTTGCAGTGAGCCGAGATCGTCCACTGCACTCCAGCCTGGGCAACAGAGCGAGACTCCATCTCAAAAAAAAAAAAAAAATGCTTGGGACTGCTGCCGGGCACAGTGGCTCACACCTGTAAGCACTTTGGGAGGCCAAGCTGGGCAGATCACCTGAGGTCAGGAGTTCAAGACCAGCCTGACCAACGTGGCGAAACCCCATCACTACTAAAAATACAAAAATTAGCCAGGCGTGGTGGTGGGTGCCTGTAATCCCAGCTGCTTGGGAGGCTGAGTCAGGAGAATCACTTGAACCCAGAAGCCAGAGGTTGCAGTGAGCCTAGATCCTACCACTGCACTCCAGCCTGGGTGACAGAACGAGACTCCATCTCAAACATATATAAAATAAAAACCAAAATGCTCGGGACTGGGAATGTTTCAGATTTAGTATTTTTTCAGATTTTTGAGTATTTGCATCATACATACCAGTTGAGCATTCCTAATTCAAAAATCCAAAATCTGAAATGCTCTGATGAGCTTTTCCCTTGAGTGTAGTATGGATGCTCAAAAAAATTTGGATTTTGGAGCATTTCAGATTTCAGGTTTTCAGATTTGGGATGCTCAACCTGTGTATATCACTGTTGTTATTTTTGGAAAACATGTTCATGCCTTTTATTGCTATTACAAATAATAATTTCTGAAAACAAAGTTTAAGTTATTTCAGGCGTTATTGTAGAAGATACTGCGTCAACCCCAACTGTCTTTCTTCCATCTGCCCAGTCTTAGAGTGCCGCAGGTAGCTCCTGTTTGCCCCCAGGTCCCATTTTCACCCTGCCTCACCTGTCTTTCTCACCAGGGAGGCTGAGTGTGGGACACATCGGCTGGGCTCCCGTATTCTGGGGTCCTGTTGAGCTTAGCCAGTGAGGAGCCCCCAGAGGAGGCAGGTGGTTACTCCTGTAGCTCCCTCATCCTGGGAGGCTGCCGCTACCTGGCTGGACTGCTCGAATGAAGGTCGCTGCCCCACCCAAGGGGACTGGCTCTACCTGAAACTCTCTCCTTCCAGGTTTTGTAACTGTTCCTCACCCCAGGTCTAGGGCTGGTAACAGCTTCAGGTTATTGCACTATTTCTTGGGGTTCCCCATGCACCTGTGCCTTTGGGAATGGTCCCATAGACGGTCACTCGCTGAGCATCATCTTAGAAATGGGGCTGTGCACTATGAAGGTGAGCAGGCAGAGGTGGGTACGCTGGTCAGACCCCTGGACTGGTGACAACCGCCAGGCAGTGCACAGAGTTGGAGTGATGGGGGGCAGAACCAGACCATGGCAGCAGCCCCTACGCCTGCTGATGGGACAGAACAGGTGGAAGCAGGGGGTTCCCCAGGTTGCTTCACAGTGAGCAGCAGTGGCAGTGTCTTGCCTAGGCAGGGCTCTGTGCTTGGGGCCTCCAACTCTGTCCCCTACCTGTGTGGGTCAGTAGGGGAGAGGCACACTGCAGGTCTCTGCAGTGTGATTTTAGAGTTGACAAGCCTTATACCTAAAAGCTCTCTAGCAAGGCATAAACCTTCCATTTCACAAGTACAGATAAGGATTAAACTAGGAACACCCTGCAAGAAGGGACTGTGGTAGCTGACGCTCACTCTGCAGTGCACTCAGCGGCTCCCAAACCTGCGGGCAGGTTCAGCAGAGGATGGGCATCCTGGGGAGAGACAGGCTGAGCATGTTACTCAACTCTCCTCTTTCTCTCTGCATGTAAGTCCAAAGTCAAAAGCACTGCATTTAATTCAGCTCCTTTAGTGATGCTGGTGTCGCTGTCCTCCCACAAAAGGGAGCACAGAAAGTGCTGAAGGGAGTAACACATTGGTGCTGACGGAGTCTCACTGTGTCGTCCAGGCTGGAGTGCGGTGACACAATCTCAGCTCACTGCATCCTCCGCCTCCCAGGTTCAAGACATTCTCAAGCCTCAGTCTCTCGAGTAGCTGGGACCACAGGTGTGCACCACCACGTCCAGCTAATTTTTGTATCTTAGCTGAGGTTTCATGTTGGCCTGACTGGTCTCGAACTCCTGACCTCAAGTAATCTGCCCGCCTCGTCCTCCCAAAGTGCTGGGATTACAGGTATGGGCCACCGTGCCCGGCCCGAGACTGCTTTTTTACCATCTTAATGTTGTCTGAGATGATGAGTGTGAGATCTGGACCACCCCACGTAAGTGCGCCAACGTCTTTTCTAAGAAAGCTGTTGTGTTTCCAGCTTTCCCTGCGGTTCCTGCCACTTGTCCTGGTGGGATGGGGTGGGCTCGGCTCTGCTGGATCCACGCCTCACTCATGGATCAGATCATTCCTTTCTCAGTCTGTGCTCACTAACCTGGCCTCCATCTCTTTACCACTTAATTGATATTTCAGTTTCCTCATCACTTACTGATTTATTTCACTTGAATCACCAAGTCCCTAGAAGACTGATGGTTACAAAATTAAGCATGAAGCTGAGGAACGGATCCTGGAACAGGGCGGCCTCTGGCAAGCGCTGCACCGCCCTGGATCTGAGCACCTTTGAAACCGCAGCAAGCATTGCTTAGTAAACGAAGGTGGTTCTGTGGACAAAATCTTCGCATAATGGGTATAGAATACAGAGAGGAAGATGCCGAGGGGTGTAACCATCGATCAGCACTCCGCTGCTCTCTGTGTGTGGGTTCCAGATGGGGAAGTCCTCCTTGGCATTCTGACCCCAGTGTGCTCTGCTCCCACCCTGCACGCATCTCTTCTCTGTTCCTTCTTTTGACTTAAAAGCAGAGAATATAAAAAATGACTTATTTAGAGCTCCCTGTGGCCATTTTCTCAACTTTGAATTGAAAATATTGGCTGGGTGTGGTGGCTCACGCCTGTAATCCCAGCACTTTGGGAGGCCAAGGTGGACGGATCACCTGCGGTCAGAGGTTCAAAACCAGCCTGGCCAACATGGTGAAACCCCATCTCTACCAAAAAAAGTACAAAAATTAGTTAGGCATGGGGGTGGGCGCCTGAAATCCCAGCTACTCAGGAAGCTAAGGCAGGAGAATCACTTAAACCCAGGAGATGGAGGTTGCACCACTCCCAGGAGAAGGCAAAATTGCACCACTGCACTGCAGCCTGGGTGACAGAGCAAGACTCCATCTCAAAAAAAAAAAAAAAAAAAGAAAAGAAAAAATATTTATAATATGCTAACACACTAAGGCTTTGTTTTTTGTTTTTTGTTTTTGAGATGGAGTCTCGCTCTGTCCCCCAGGCTGGAGTGCAGTGGCGCGATATCAGTTCACTGCAACTTCTGCCTCCTGGGTTCAAGCAATTCTCCTGCCTCAGCCTCCAGAGTAGCTGAGACTACAGGTGCGCACCACCACGCCCAGCTAATTTTTGTATTTTCAGTTGACACAGGGTTTCACCATGTTGGTCAGGATGGTCTCAATCTTTTGACCTCGTGATCCGCCTGCCTCGGTCTCCCAAAGTGCTGGGATTACAGCCGTAAGCCACCGCGCCCAGCCCACACTAAAATGTTTGTTTGTTTGTTTTGAAATGAAGACTCGCTCTGTCGCCCAGGCTGGAGTGCAGTGGCGCAATCTCGGCTTGCTGCAAGCTCCGCCTCCCAGGTTGACGCCATTCTCCCGTCTCAGTCTCCCAAGTAGCTGGGACTACAGGCACCCGCCACCATGCCCGGATAATTTTGGTTTTGTATTTTTAGTAGAGACGGGGTTTCACCGTGTTAGCCAGGATGGTCTCGATCTCCTGACCTCGTGTTCCGCCCACCTCGGCCTCCGAAAGTGCTGGGATTACAGATGTGAGCCACACTAAGGTTCTTATAGTCTGGAAAGTAAGCAGCAGTCCCTGTGTATGTTGACATATTAAAATGTGGAGCATGAGATAAAGGTGGTGTTGGCAGCCTCCGGGGTAGAGCCAGCTACACAGGTGATAGGACTAGGTCAGCAAGTTCGTGCTGCTCATGGCAGGAGAGGTGTGTCTGCAGTCAGTCACCCAGATCGTGTGGTGAGGGAGCCCCAAATGGTGGGCACGGAACCGCTAAGCCTGGACTGTTTTCTCAGAAGGTCTTCTTTTCTTCTCACGTTAGAAGCTTCCTTTTCTAGTTGAGGCCAACCCCTTCTGAAATTGGAGTAACCATTCCCAGGAGTGATGGGACAATCCTCCTTCTAGACTAAACAAGAGTTCCAGGACTGGACCAAAAGAAGTGTGGAACTTGAGGGTGGGAAGTGAGTCCTCACGCTCTGCTTCTCGGGGCGTCTATTCCCTCACTGTGTGGGTGTTGCCAGTATCAGTGGGGAGAGAACCTGGGACGGGCAGATTGATGGTAACTGTCTGGTTAGTAGTGGATTATTTTAGCAGTTGTTATTTTTATAAATAGGACACGTTGAAATCCATTTTGAGTCACTATCCTGCTCTTAGTTTGATTAAGGTGTATAAGTAAAATGAATTTCATACTGGTATGTGTCTGTTAAATTATCCTTTAGTATTTTTGCCTGACTAATAAATGATTAGTGATAGTCTGTCTTGTTCATTTTCATAGAATTAAGGCCAAGAAGACCAAAGAATTACACCGTCTTACAACACATTTTTTTTATATAAATTCTTTCTAAATTAAAATTCTGTGTAAATGGGTTTCAGAAAAAGTAATTGATGACTGTAGTGCTTATCTCTGAAACATACTTGTCCAGTTGTTTGCTGTATTTGCAGGTGTTTTTAAAATGTGTATGGTAGAATGAACATTTGAAGGTCTTCTGCAATCTTATTCAATTCAACTGCATTTTTTTGTCTAATAGAATTAGAAAATAGCTTCAATATAAAATATACTTGTAAACATGTTAAAGCTTTATTTAGATCAATGCTGTTTCACTTAAAAAAACAAAAATTGCAGTGGTGTATGCCTATAGTCCCAGCTATGTGGGAGGCTGAGGTGGGAGAATCCCTTGAACCAAGGAGTTTGAGGCCAGGCTGGGCAACATAGTGTGCGACCCCATCTTGAACAAAAAAGAAAGAAAGAAAGAGAAAAAAATCACATGAGGCACTTTCATAGGTGCATTATTTCTCTTACAAAAAAAAAAATCCATGTCTAATCCTTTAATCTTATAAAGGAATATAAAGGTAATCCTTTAATCTTATAAAGGTATATAAAGGTTTTTGTTTTGTTTTGTTTTTTTATACTGGTTATTAAATCTAGATTCACCAGTGTTCTTTTAAACCTGCGTGCTTCATTTGCTGACATTTCCTCTCTGAGGTCAGGAACACAATATAGTCATCTCAGATCCGTACTTGCCCCTCTCAAATTTGATCTGTGCTTCTTCAGTGACTTGCAAGATACCAGGCATTAACTCATGCCTGATATCTACAATGAACCTTCCAGGGGCCTGGATTATAGAGAAGAGCAAGGGACGTCCACTGCTGCCCCCCGGTGCGCATGTCTAAGGGAAGAACAGACCTGTAACTTCAGTACAAGGTGTGTGTGACTCACGAAGCATTAACAGGCATGTCAAAACTGGAGCAGTTAATTCCGACCTGAGGGGCTCAAAGGGAAGGTTTTATGGGAGGAAGTAGCCTTTGAACTGAACTTTGAAGGCCTATTAGTTTCCCAGGATGCCACAACTTGGTGGCTTAGACAACAGAAGTTTATTTCCTTGTAGTTCTGGAGGCCAGAAGTCTGGAGTAAGTCATCAGCAGGGTTGGTTCCTAAGTCCTCAGCAGGGGTGGTTCCTTCTGGAGGCTGAGGGAGAATCCGCCCCACGCTGCCCTCAGCTCCTGCTGTTGCCGGCAGTCCTTGGCATCCTTGGCTTGTCGCTGCGTCGCCCCAGCCTCCACCTGTCTTCACGTGGCCCTCCCCTCCGTGCCGCGCTGCATCTTCTCTCTCTCTCTTATAAGGACACTTGTCATTGGATTTAGGGCCCACCCTAATCCGGGATAACCTCATCTCCAGATCCTCACCTTAGTTACATCTGCAGAGACCCTTATTGCAAATAAGGTCTCATTCTGATGTTTCCAGTGGACCTGTCTTTTTGCGGAGGCCACTGTTCAGCCCACTGCAGAAAGGCAAGCAGGATGTCAGGTGACCATAGGAGAACAGGGAAGGCACTGTTGAGGAAGAAAGAATAGTGTGTGCAGAGGCACAGAACAGAAGCATGAGGAACGCATTCTCAAAACTGGATTTCCCAAAGTTCAAACCCTTCCTTTGAAAAGGATATGTTGAAATGATCCTAGAGATGAGATTCCTAGGGGATGTGATAGGAGATGAGGCTGGAAAGGTAGGTTAGAGTTCGAGTTCTAGAACCTTGAATGATACAGGGTATATTGTGTAGGTAGGGAGGACACGAGCAGCCAGGCACAGTGACTCATGCTTATAACCACAGTGCTTTGGAAGGCTGAGGCTTGAGGCCAAAAGTGCAAGACCAGCCTGGTCAACATAGTGAGACCCCATCACTACAAAAAAAAAAATACAGAATAAAAAAGTTAGCCAGATGTAATGGCAGGCATCTGTAGTCTCAGCTGCTAGGATTGCTTGAGCCTGAGAGTTCAAGGCTGCAGTGAGCCATGATCGCACCACTGCAGTCCATCCTGGGTGGCAGAGTGAGACCCTGTCTCAAAAAAACAAACAAAGGTACCAAACAAGCATATTATGTAATCAGATTTGTTTTTAATAGGAGAAATACTTCCAATATTTCAATTTAGTGTTTATAATTGCTTGCATTTAAACTTAGATGTTGCATTTGTAAAAGTTTGTTATTAACCTTTATGAATTAAACACTTTAATATAAACTTGCTACTTACTCATATTCTTCTTTAGCAACTCCCTTGCATAATAATGTTGGGTTGGCATCTGTTTAAAGAGTAGTGAGATTTAACATCAGTCTGCAAACAGGTTTCTTCCTTTTGTAGAGCAGTAACTCAAGTCCCAGTGTGATACTCTGTAATTATGCTTCTATCCTATAACACTGAAAATATCAAAAGCAAGAAGGGAGCATTGTGTTAATATCTTAACCTCAGTTAGCTTTTGAATATGGAGTTGGAACTTCTTGCCCTCTCAGGAATTTTGATAATTTATTTTATTTTATTTATTTTTTTGAGACGGAGTCTTGCTCTGTTGCACAGACTGGAGTGCAGTGGTAGGATCTCGGCTCACTGCAGCCTCCACCTCCCGGGTTCCAGCCGTTCCTCTACCTCAGCCTCCCAGGTAGCTGGGATTACAGGCACATGTCACCACGCCCGGCTGATTTTTGTATTTTTCATAGAGATGGGGATTCACCATGTTGCCCAGGCTGGTCTCGAATTCCTGACCTCAGGTGATCCACCCAGCTCAGCCTCCCAAAATGCTGGGATTACAGGCGTGAGCCACCGCACGCGGCCAAGGAATTTTGATAATATATTTTAAACAGCCTGTTGTTGAACAATTTGGGTGGGTTTTGTTGTTGTTGTTGTATAACTCCAAATTACACTCATTTTCACTCTGTTTCAATTTATTTCTTCCTCCAAGTACAATGTGAGACTTCACCATAATGTAACTAACACAGATGGTGCCACCTATAATCGTAAAGTTTATACTAAAAGTAGAAAAGCGACATTAAAAAGGAACGTTTTATATTTTACTGTATTTTCCTAGCTTAAAAAGCTTATACTTTTGTTGTGATTGATGTTGTTTTATTACATCAGTAATAATCTGTCCTTATTCCCACTCAACAGAAATTTTATTATAATTTGTAGGTGGCTCACGCCTGTAATCCCAGAAGTTTGGGAAGCCAAGGCAGGTGGATCACTTGAGCCTGGGAGTTTGAGACCAGCTTGGGCAACATAGTAAGACCTCATCTCTATTTAAAATTAATTATTATTTTTCTTTTTTTGAGGCAGAGTACCATTCTGTTCCCCAGGCTGGAGTGTAGTAGCACAATCTCAGCTCACTGCAACCTCCATGTCCTGGGTTGAAGCAATTCTTTTTTTTTTTTTTTTTTTTGAGACGGAGTCTCGCTCTGTCGCCAGGCTGGAGTGCAGTGGCACAATCTCAGTTCACTGCAACCTCCGCCTCCAGGGTTCAAGCGATTCTTCTGCCTCAGCCTCCTGTGTGGCTGGGATTACAGGTGCGTGCTATCATGCCAGGCTAATTTTTCTATTTTTAGTAGAGACAGGGTTTCACCATGTTGGCTAGGATGGTCTCGATCTCATGACCTTGTGATCCACCCACCTCGGCCTCCCAAAGTGCTGGGATTACAGGTGTGAGCCACTGCACCTGGCCTGAAGCAATTCTTGTGCCTCAGCCTGCCAAGTAGCTGGGATTACAGGCATGCACCACTATGCACAGCTAATTTTTGTATTTTTAGTAGAGACGGGGTTTCGCCATGTTGCCCAGGATAGTCTCAAACTCCTGGCCTCTCAAGCAATCCACCCGCCTTGGCCTCCCAAAGTGCTGGGATTACAGGCGTGAGCCACTGCACCCAGCCATAAAATTTAATTTAAAAAAATTTTTTAAAGAAATTTTATTATAAATTTTATTTTTGTTTTTAAAATTATTTTTAACTGGTTTTACACATTCAAAGAGGGTTTATTATAATTTATTTTAAATATTTAACCTTTTACGGCTGGGTGTGATGGCTCACACCTGTAATCCCAGCACTTTGGGAGGCTCAGGCAGGCAGATCACTTGAGGTCAGGAGTTTGAGACCAGCCTGGCCAACATGGTGAAACCCCGTCTCTACTAAAAATACAAGGATTAGCCAGGCTTGTTTTCCCACACCTATAATCCAAGCTACTCAGGAGGCTGAGGAACAAGAATTGCTTGAACCCTGGAGGTGGAGGTTGCGATGAGTTGAGATTGTGCCACTGCACTCCAGCCTGGGTGACAGAGCGAGACCCTGTCTCCAAAATAAATAAATAAGTAAATATTTAACATGTTACTTTGTTTGGTCGAGTGCTTTATATTTTTAAAAAATGTCGTAGATCCTCCCCCAAACCTGGAACCCAGTTACAGAGGTTCTAATCTTGAGAAAAGCATGAGACCTCTTCCAGCCAATGGGCATCCTCCAAAGTGCCTCATCAGAACTTCAAAGCTTCCAAGGCCATCACAACAAGGAGGGTCTGAGAAACTGTCGCAGCCAGGAGGAGCCCGAGGAGATGCTCCCGACCATCATGTGGAATCCTGGACGGGATCGTGAGACAGACACAGGGCATTAAGGAAAAAATAAGGAAATCTGAATAATGTGGAGACTTTTGTTAATACATTGTTGGGGTGTGTGTGTATGTGTGTGTGTATGTGTGTGTGACAGAGTCTTGCTCTGTCACCCAGGCTGGAGGGCAGTAGCACAATCACAGCTCACTGCAGCCTCAACCTCCTGGCTCAAGAGACCCTCCCACCTCAGCCTCCTGAGTAGGCTGGGGCCATAGGTGTGCACCACCACACCTGGCTAATTTTTTTTATGTTTTGTAGAAACGGGATCTCACTATGTTGCCCAGGCTGGTCTCAAACTCCTAGCCTCCAGGGCTCCTCCTGCCTCGGCCTCCCAAAGTGCTGGAATTACAGGTGGGAGCCACTGTACCTAGACACATTCATTATGATTTTCTTGGCTGCTTAACTATAACCGCTGCACCATGCTAATGCAAGATGTTGATGATGGGGAAACACATTTCCAGCTGCCCTGGAGGCTGTGTGCATGCAGGACAGAGGCAGGAGAGCCCAGCTCTGCACACCTCCCTGGATGACGGAGGAAGCCCACGCAGGGAGCACCAAGCCACACTCCCACAGCTCCCCAGCCAACTAGGGGGCTGCCTGTGTGTGAAGGCAGTGCTGGAGGACCTGCCAGAAAGTCTAAGCCATGGCAGGCTTGGAAACTGTCTTAACTAGGAGAGGGCTCCACAAGCCACCCACCAGTCCATCAGCCACAGGTGGGTGCCTGACTGGCTGGGGCACAGCCTCTGACCGCTCCTAACCTAGGATTGGATTATACCTAGGTTGAAGTAAATATCCATGAGTCTACACTGATATGAATAAATGATCAGATAAATAAATAACTCTCCTGTACATAATTATTTTAAACAAGGAGGTAGGGCATAACTCCTTGCCATTAAGTGAGGGGTCCTAGTGACCTTCTTAAAAAGATTACAGTACATAAAGGAGGAGGGAAAGAGTACCTCTACTTGGAGAAACCTGACAAATATGACTTCACTCAGGTGATTAAGGTGATGAGTCACGTTGATTTTAGGCACCCTGGATAGGATGGGATGAGAAGGCATGTGTACCCTCAGTATGATGATGAGGACGGAGCGGGTCCCTCCGTGTGCGGTGAGGACGGAGCGTGTCCCTCCGTGTGCGGTGAGGACGGAGCGTGTCCCTCCGTGTGCGGTGAGGACGGAGCGGGTGCCTCCGTGTGCGGTGAGGACGGAGCGTGTCCCTCCGTGTGCGGTGAGGACGGAGCGGGTGCCTCCGTGTGCGGTGAGGACGGAGCGTGTCCCTCCGTGTGCGGTGAGGATGGAGCGTGTCCCTCCGTGTGCGGTGAGGACGGAGCGTGTCCCTCCGTGTGCGGTGAGGACGGAGCGGGTGCCTCCGTGTGCGGTGAGGACGGAGCGTGTCCCTCCGTGTGCGGTGAGGACGGAGCGTGTCCCTCCGTGTGCGGTGAGGACGGAGCGTGTCCCTCCGTGTGCGGTGAGGACGGAGCGTGTCCCTCCGTGTGCGGTGAGGACGGAGCGTGTCCCTCCGTGTGCGGTGAGGACGGAGCGTGTCCCTCCGTGTGCGGTGAGGACGGAGCGTGTCCCTCCGTGTGCGGTGAGTATGGAGCGTGTGCCTCCGTGTGTGGTGAGTATGGAGCGGGTGCCTCCGTGTGATGATGAGAATGAAACTGTGTAACCCAAAGACTGAGAAAAACCGTGTGTTCTCACACTGCTTTAAATAGGCTACCTGAGACTGGGTGGGTAATTTATAAAGGAAAGCGGTTTAATTGACTCACAGTTCTGCATGGCTGGAGGGGCCTCAGGAAACTTACAATCATGGCTGAACGGGAAGAGGCACGTCTTTCGTGGTAGCAGGCAACAGAGAGAGCGAGGGCAGAGAAAACTGCCTTATAAAACTCTCAGATCTCCTGAAAACTCAGGCACTATCACAAGAACAGCATGGAGGAAACTGCCCCCATGATCCAATCACCTCCCAGCAGGTCCTGCCCTTGGCACGTGGGGATTATGGGAACTACAATTCAAGATGAGATTTGGGTGGGGACACGAAGCCAAACCATATCAATAACGTAAGATGATAAACTTGGGGGAACCTGATATGGAGTATATAGGAACTGTTCCAGCTTTGCAACTTTTTTGTAAATCTGGAACATATATTTATTCAAAATACAATGTTCATTGAAATAATTTAGAAATCAACACATTAAAATGGTATATTAAAAATATAATCTAACACCAAACTTACAGATTTTCAAAAATTCTGTAAGTTTGAACATTCCTGCCCTATATTATTTTCAATTATTTCACATATTCATATAGTAATACTAACATGTATAATATGTCTATAATATGTGTACCTCTTTTATGAAAATTCTTGATTTAATGAATGAACAAAATTATCTTCTGAGATTTCCTTTCTGGGAGATGGTTTGTTACATTTTACTATACTTAGCCTCCCTCTTGATTTCTTGCTTTTGAATTTTAGGATGTTAGATTTGGCAGGCAATTTGTAACTTAAATACTGGCTGAATGTATGCTTGACTGCCCTGATCTTTGGCTTTTGTTTTGCGCCAATTCCACACTCAGTAGGCATGAGGAGACTGCGCATGCGGCTGCGCGAGGAGCGTCATCCTTAGCAGCGATGGCGGACACGGACCAGATCTCTCTGTGCCGCTCTCATGAGAGCTTGCTGTTTCAGGCCTTTCTTAAGCAGGGCCCTCACTGTCTAGTCTATCAGTGTTTTGAGAAACATGGGAGCACACCAACTGAAACTTCATCTGTCCATCCGTTCCCTCCCTGACAGCCGCTGCTATTCATTCACGAACCCCGAGCTTGTCCTTGGTAGTGCTGGTGGCAGTGTGATGACAGTCACTGTCCCCTCCATTGGTTTGCAGTGTCTGTAAGGACAAGGGTTGTGTTTGTTGTCTTCCCTGCGGCATCCCCGCCTCTCGCACAGTGGATGCTGCGGGTGCCTCACCAGAATCCTGTCTCATCCAAGTTCTCATATTTCAACATCTCTGCCCCAGGACATTCTTTGGCAACTGGGCTTGTGGGTAGAAATGACGGGGGTGATGTCCCAGGAATTACCTGGAACCCAGGCAGGGCAGGAGTGGTCCTCCCACGAGACAGTTCTGAGGTCTGTACAGCCTCAGAGCATCCTCCCTCATAGCTTCACTCCAGGGTCACGAAGGTATAACCTGCTTACTGGGCACCCTTTCTTTTGAATTTTTCCTCCCCTAACTTTCCATGGTCTCAGGATCAGCTTTGGGAGGAATGCACACTAGACAATATGCAATAAATATTTATAGACTGAATTAATGTATGGATTACTTGAGTAAGATACTGATCATTCAAATAAATTATCACCCAGGAAGGAAAAAAATATTAGAAATACACAGTCACTGTTAACGAGATAGAAGGTAATAACTGATGAGACAGAAGTAAAATGCTGTTGGCGTTCAGGGGAAGAAGTCATTTTAGATTTCCTTACCCTTTCCAGGTCAGGGTTGGTGACCCACCTGTGTGTTCTCAGGTGATCCAGTGCTCACCCTGGGCTGATGCATAAGCTTTGAGGGTGGATAACCGGTCATTGTGTCCCCCTGTGGGTAACCCCAGGACAGGGCCCAGGACACAGGGGTCCTCCCCAGGTGCGCTCAGATGAGCGCACCGTTGAGTGAGGGAAGTGAGTTTAATAAGGAGCTACTGGAGCCTGGGACAGAGCTTCAAATCCCGCTTGGGTCACTACTTCACCGTCTGATTTGGGGCAAGTGACGCAGCTTCTCCTAGCCTCGGTTTCCTCAGAGGTAAAATGAAAAAATGAAGCTGTATTCCTCGAGGTTGTCACATCAGTTAAGTGAGGTGATTTATTGCAGTACCTGGTCCGTAATGAGCACTCAGACGTTCACTTCTTTTGTGGGAAAAGATGTCCGTTGAGGTTGGATTGAAATTGAACAAGGAAAAGTCAAGGAGGAGGACGTTTAAGGCAAGTGAGTGAACAAGGGCAAGAAGGGAGAGGTCAAAGGCTACAGGAGACTGACAGGGAGACCGTTTGCTTAGACATGAAACCAGGAGCTGGGAAATAAGGCTGCGGAGAAGCCAGATGTGGAGATGCATGAATGAGACAGGAGACGTCTGGAATTTATTCCACATCAGGAGGGAGACATTTGAGAGAGAAATATCCAGGAGGCAGTTGCAGTGACAAAACTCTGCATTATAAATTGTAATATCCCAAAGAGAGGTCAGAATGAAAATAGACTTGAGAGTGGTCCACATCATTTGTCATGAAATTGGCAAACCAGCTGCATGGATGTCCACAGTAGGAAATATACAAAATTGTGGGGCTCCTTTCCACAGCCAAAGAGCTTGGTTAGTATCACTTGTTTAACACTTGTTTTGCTAATTAGCTTATACACTACATGTTTTTCTTCTCAGATATTTCCCAAGTAGTCCAGATCTTCCTAAAATGCACAGATCGGTGTGGGCTGAATGGAGCTGTCAAGGATGTCTCTTGCAGATGGCATAATTTGGACTGACCCATGAAAATAGGGAAGGATTTCGGCAGAACGGGGAAAGCAGTTGTGGCGGGCCGAGGGAAGGAGGGGGATCAGCTTGGCTGAGAACACAGCTTTGGAATCCAGAGGCTTCAAGTTCAAATTCAGGTTCCATGACTCACCAGTCATATCCTTGAGCCAAGGTCTAATGAAGGAGTTCACTGGGCCACAAACAGACGGAGAAAGTATTTCAGGCAGAGGAAGCAGTAGTGTCAGGCCCCATGGAAGAGACAGCAGAGCACTGATGGAGGACTGGAAAAAAATAGGGGGTTGGAGAAAATACGGAGCAGGAGTGTTTAATACAAGAGGCAGGGAGGTAGGCGGGGGCCAGGCCTCCCAGGTCTTATAGGTCAGGGGTCCCCAATCCTGGGGCCATGAACCAGTACAGTTCCCTGGCCTGTTAGGAAATGGGCTGCACAGCAGGAGGCAAGGGGCGGGTGAGCCAGCATTATGGCCTGAGCTGTGCATCCTCTCAGATTAGGGACAGCTTTAGTGTCTCATAGGAGTCCAAACCCGATGGTGAACTGTGCCCACGAGGGATCTAGGTTGTGTGCTCCTGATGAGAATCTGGTGCCTGATGATCTGAGGTGGAACAGTTTCATCCTGAAACCACCCACTACCACCCCCAGTGGAAAAATTGTCTTCCACAAAACCAGTCCTAGGGACTGCTGTTCTAGGTGACTTCAAGGGTTTTGCCTTTATTCTAAAGCATCTGGATTAGATTATATTTGCATCTGGCAAAATCTTCCTGGATGCAGTGTGGACAGCTGTGGAAGATGCAGGGGGCAGAAGGATTGGTGAGGAAGTTAGGATATGTAGGGGGTGGCCATGGAGGCAGAGAAATGAGTGGATTTGAGGGTTCTGGGGTGCAAAATCAAGGCATTGTGATAAATTGGTTAGGGTGACAAGAGGACATTGGCAAGGGTGACTCCTAGATTTCCATGATTGGTTGGACGGTGTTGCCTTTTCCTTATCAGTGTGCTATCAACCCCACAATACATTGTCATTATTTTTGTTTAAATTGTCAGTTAGGGCTGGGCACAGTGGCTCACACCTGTAATCCCAGCACTTTGGGAGGCCGAGCCATGCAAGATCACCTGAGGTCAGGAGTTCAAGACCAGCCTGGCCAACATGGTGAAACCCCGTCTCTACTAAAAATACAAATATTAGCCAGGTGTGATGGTGTGCACCTGTAATCCCAGCTACTCGGGAGGCTGAGGCAGGAGAATCTCTTGAACCTTGGAGGCAGAGGTTGCAGTGAGCCAAGATCTAGCCACTGCACTCCAGCCTGGGCAACAAGAGCTAAACTCTGTCTCAAAAAAAAAAAATACATAAAAAAATAAATTGTCAATTAGCTTTTAGAGAGATTTAAATAATTTTTGAAAGCATTTGTATATTTGTCCACATTGTTACCATTTTCAGTGCTCTCTGTTCCCTGTGTAAGTCCGTATTTCCATACAGCATTTATGTAAATAGTACCTTTAAAATTTTTTTAAATTTCTGTCTGCTAACAATGAGTTAGTAGATACAAATATAGTAGCCTTTTTTTTCTATTTGCATTTGCTTTATTGTACTTTTTTCCTTTTTTTAAGTTTTATTTTTGGTTGACACATAATTGTACATATTTATGGGATACAGTTTGATGTTTTAGTACATGTATATATTGTGTACTGATAAAATCAGGATAATTAGTATATCTGTCACCTAAAACACGTATCATTTCTTTATGGCAGGAACATTCAAAATCCTCCCTTCTAGCTATTTTGAACTATACAATACGTTATTGTTAACTATAGTCACCCCACTGTGCAATAGAACACCAGAATGCATTCCTCCTGTCTGACTGTAACTGACCAACCTCTCCTCATACCCCCACCCCATTCCCTCCCCAGCCTCTGGTAACCACTCTCTACTTTCTACTCCTGTGAGATCAGCTTGTTTAGATTCCACAGATGAATGGGATGGTATTTGTCTTTCCACGCCTGGCTTATTTCATGTAACACAGTGTCCTCTAGGTTCATCCTGTGCTCACAGATGTCAGGATTTCATTCTTTTTTATGGTTGAATAGTACTCCATTGTTTATAGGTACCACGTTTCTTTATCCATTCATCTTTTGGCGACACTTAGGTGGATTCCATGTCTTGGCTGTTGTGAATAGTGCTGCACTCAACATGGCAGTGCACATGTGTCATGAACACTCTGATTTCATTTCCTTTGGGTATATACCCGGTAGTGGGATTGCTGGATCATAGGGTAATTCTATTTTTAATTTTTTGAGGAACCTCTGTACTGTTTTCTATAATGGCTCTACTAATTTATATTTCATTCCCACCAATAGTTCAATAAAAGAGCGGGGGGGGGGGCTCCCTTTTGTCCACATCCTCAGCAACACTCATCTTTTGTTTTGTTTTGTTTTGTTTATAATAGCCATTCTAACTGGAGTGAGGTGATATCTCATTGTGGTTTTGATTTGCATTTCTCCAGTGACTAGCGATGGTGGACATTTTTTCATATACCTGTTGGCCATTTGTATGTCTTCTTTGAGAAATGTGTATTCAGTTCTTTTGCCCATTTTTTAATCAGATTATTTGGGGTTTTTTTCCTGCTGTTGAGTTGTTTGAGTTCCTAATCTGTTTTGGATATTAACCCTTTATCAGATGTATAGTTTGCAAATATTTTCTCTCATTCTGTAGGTTGTCTCTTCACTCTGTTGATTATTTCCTTTGCAGGATAGAAGCTTTTTAGTTTGATATAATCCCATTTGTCCATTTTTGCTTTTGTTCCATGTGCTTTTGAGGCTTTATCCATAAAATATTTGCCCAGACCAAAGTCATGAAGCATTTCCCCTATGTTTTCTTCTAGTAGTTTCGTAGTTTGGGTCGTAGATTTTCAGTCTCTAATCTATTTTCCATTGATTTTTGTATCTGATGAGAGATAGGAGTCCAGCTTCATTTTTCTGCATGTGGATATCTAGGTTTTCCAGCACCATTTATGGAAGAGACCACCCTTTGCCCGGTGTGTATTCTTGGAACCTTTGTCAAAAATCATTTGGCTGTAATGTGTGGATTTATTTCTGGGCTTTCTAATTCTCTTTGTCTGTGTGTCTGTTTTTATGCCAGCTTCATGCTGTTTTGGTTATTATAGCTTTGTAGTACATTTTGAAGTCAGGTAGTGTGATATCTTCAGCTTTGTTCTTTTTGCTCAAAATTCTTTTGGCTATTTGGGGTCCTTTGTGGTTCTATACAAATGTTAGGATTTTTTTTTTCTTGTCCTGCGAAGAATTGGTATTTTGATAGGCATTGCATTGAATCTGTAGATCACAGTGGATAGTGTGGTCATTTTAACAATATTCTTCCAATCCATGAACACAAGATATCTTCCCTTTTATTTGTATCTTCTTCAATTCTTCCTCTTTTTTTTTATTTTTATTTATTTTTTTGACAGTCTCACTTTGTAACCAAAGCTGGAGTGCAGTGCCGCAATCTCAGCCCACTACAACCTCCGCCTCCCAGGTTCAAGCAATTCTCGTGCCTCAGCCTCCTGAGAAGCTGGGATTACAGGCCTGTGCCACCATGCCCAGCTAATTTTTGTATTTTTAGTAGAGACGGGGTTTCTCCATATTGGCCAGGCTGGTCTCAAACTCCTGACCTCAGGTGATCTGCCTGCCTCAGCCTCCCAAAGTGCTAGGATTACAGGCGCGTGCTACCACACCTGGTCTGCTTCAATTCTTTCATCAGTGTTTTATAGTTTTCACTCTAGAGGTCTTTCACCTCCTGAGTTAAATTAATTCCTGAGTATTTTGTTTTTTTGTAGCTATTGTAAATGGGATTCTTTTATTATTTCTATTTCGGATAGTTGTCTATTAGTGTATAGAAATGCTACTGATTTTTTATGTTGAGTTTATATCTTGTAACTTTACTGAATTTATTAGTTTTGACAGTTTCTTGATGGAGTCATTAGGGTTTTCCATATATAAGATTATGTCATCTGCAAACAGGGACAATTTAACTTCCTTGTTTCCATATTTGGATGCCTTTTATTTCTTTGTCTTGCCTGACTGCTCTGACAAGGACTTCCAGTACTACCTTGAACAGAGTAGCAACAGCAGGCATTCTTGTCTTGTTCCTGGTCTTTTTTTTCCCCTTTATTTTTATTTTTATTTTATTTTATTAGTTTTGTAGAAACTGGGTCTTGCTATGCCACCCAGGCTGGTCTCGAACTCCTGGGCTCAAGTGACCCTTCCACCTCAGCCTCCCAGAGTTCTGGGATTACAGGTGTGAGCCAATGCACCTGGCCTTGTTCCAGATCTTGAAGGGAAAGCTTCCAACTTTTCCCCATTCGATTAGCTTTGTCTTTGTTTTATTAACCCTGATTTAATTCTATGACCCTGCTAAACTCATTCTTTTTAGATCTAGGAACTTTTTCTAGATTCTTTGGTATTTCCTATGTAGAAAATCATACAGTGTGCACATAAAGACAGTTTTGCTTTTTCCTTTTCAACATGTATGCCTTTCATTTTTTTCTCTTGCCTTATTTCACCATCTGGGACCTCCAATATAGTGTTCATAGAATTAGTGAGAGTGAGCATCCTTGCCTGGCCCTTGATCATACTGGGAAAACATTTCGTATTTTACCATTAAGTCTGTTAGTGATAGGTTTACGTATATGCTCTTCATCCGATTGAGGGAATTCTTTATTATTACTGATGTTTTGCCTTTTTTTCTTTTAGCAGTAGAAGACTCAGAAAGTGGTGTTTACATGCGATTCATGAGGTCACACAAGTGTTATGACATCGTTCCAACCAGTTCAAAGCTTGTTGTCTTTGATACTACATTACAAGTAAGTGTACTCCATTTTCATGAATTTTTTGGTATTTTTTGGATGGCTACTACTTTATACAGTAATTTAAAACCAGCAATGCCAGCAAACGTTTATTGAGTCCTTTGCACTATCGGGCACTGTGCTGAGGTTTTATCTGAATTCTCAACATCTTGGCAACCTTATAAGAAATGTGCTATTACTGTCTTCTTCCTAAAGACAGGGAAGCTCAAATTATAGAGTTTAAGAACTTAAGTCAGAAAGCTTTGGCCAGGTGCAGTGGCTCACGTCTGTAATCCCAGCACTTTGGGAGGCCGAGGCTGGCAGATTACCTGAGGTTGGGAGTTGGAGACCAGCCTGGCCAACGTGATGAAACACCATCTGTACTAAAAATACAAAATTAACCGGGTGTGGTGGTGCATGCCTGTAGTCCCAGCTACTCAGGACCCTGAGACAGGAGAGTCGCTTGAACCCAGGAGGCAGAGGTTGCAGTGAGCCGAGCTTGTGCCACTGCACTCCAGCTTGGCAACAGAGTGAGACTCCATCTCAAAAAAAAAAGAAAAAGAAAGCTTAGTCCACAAGTTGTTGTGGAATTTAAGGACCTAATCCACAGAGCTAGTACAAGATGGGGTTTTGAACACAGGCCTGTCTAATGTGTGTTAGAACCTAAGCTGTTCATTATTAAACTGTATGGCCTCGCTCAGTATATCCTCATGGTCTTTCTTAGTTATTTAGTAGAACATATGATAAATTTGAAATAATATTGGTAAAAAAGAAGAAAATCACAAAAATGGGCAATCTTTTGAAAGAAGAACCTTACCGATCTCTTTTCCCAGAAAATTTGAATCTTAACATTTTGGTATTAAAATTATGCGTATTGCAACTTACTTTATATCAATGTAACTTATAATCACATACAAAAAGTCCTAAATAATATACTCAATACCGTGATCAAACTACATTCAGTGTAATCAAATGGGTGTCTACACACATATCTGTGCGTATACATTTAGTGTATTGTTTCTACATAAATATTTTCCAAGTAGGATTGTCCTCAGTCGAGTTCCTCAGAAGTAAATGCTAAACCAAGAATTCATGGGTTTATGAAGGATGCACTCCCAGGAGGAAGCATGAAGGGATCAGAGGAAGAGCAGGGCAGGGGAAGACACCCAGCAAGGGCCCTGGAAGGGCTGCCTCAGCCTGAGCCTTCGGGAGCACCAGCTGAAAGGTGCCCTGGAGTGTATCCACCCCCTCCCATAGCCCTGCCTTAGATGATCCTTCCAGGCTCTTCCTGCTCCACCAGGCCCTTTAGACCTCCCCAGGGACCCCCAGGTGTGGCCTGCTTCTGTTCCCATGCCCCACACCTGCCGTGCGTCCTCAGAGGGCTCCCCGGGCTCTTGGAGCCCCTTACCTGTATTCTGTGCCTGCCACCCAGGACTTACAGGATGACCAAAAATGACTTTGCTTTTGTTTAATTTCATTTTCCAATTGTTTCTTGTTAACGTATGGAAATACAATTGATTTTTGCAAATTGGCTTTATGTTCTTTGCTGAGTTCACTTTGGACCAGGTAACCTTCAGAGTCACTTTTAAAACCCTAAGATTCTTGATTATTTGACACAAAGAAGGAAGCATCCAAATACAATCTTATAGTAGGGAAAACAGTAGGCAGTTGTTTTAAGAGATGCGGTCTCGAGAACTGTGACTACATGTTTCAATAAC
Source organism: Homo sapiens (assembly GCF_000001405.40). Lineage (NCBI taxonomy): Eukaryota > Metazoa > Chordata > Mammalia > Primates > Hominidae > Homo > Homo sapiens. The sequence continues at coordinate 151,593,644 of NC_000007.14, read as the reverse complement.
AAAATAATGAGAAGTTCTGAATTCCCAAAATAAAGGAACTACTGGCTCAACCTATTTCAGCCTCACGCCCATCCCCCAGAAGGTTTACTTTTTAAAATACCAGATTTTCTGACCACCGGCATTTCTACCAACTTAAAAATAAGCGACAGTAGGCCGGGCACAGTGGCTCAAACCTGTAATTCCAGCGCTTTGGGAGGCCAAGGCGGGCAGATCACTTGAGGTTAGGAGTTCAAGACCACCCTGGCCAACATGGTGAAACCCCGTCTCTGTTAAGAATACAAAAATTAAAATTAGCCGAGTGTGGTAGAAGTCACCTGTAGTCCCAGCTACTCGGGAGGCTGAGGCGGGAGGGTCGCTTCAACCCAGGAGGCGGAGGCTGCAGTGAGCCGAGATTGTGCCACTGCACTCCAGCCTGGATGACAGAGCAAGACTCCAACAAAGCAAGACTCTCAAAAAATAATAATAACAAGTAACAGCTGATTTGACTTTTACCCAGCTTTCCATGTATTACTCATTTTGGCTAAACCCTAGAGAAAGTCAAGTGAGTAATACATGAAAAATGCAATGCCTTATGGATGTCCAAGGTGACTGATCCAGTAAATATCACTTCCGTAATTAAGAGGAGCTGTGAGCATCATCTCCGGGAAGCCGTTTATCCTGTGAGCCTCTAAGTTGAGAGGAGCTGAGATGCATTACCATGGAAATAGGGGGAGAGAGTTGTTTGGCATTGGTTAAGTCAAGGTAAAAAGATGTATTTGAAAAGGGGTGATTTGAGTATTTTCTAGACACAGGCTGCAGTAATAGCCATTGACACACCCTCAAGAGCTAAGAAAGCAAACAAAATAGCCGCGTACCCAAAACAACCTAAGAGACCAGTTAAATAAATCCTCGCATAGGCATATAATAGAATACTGCATAATGGAGAAAATGTTTGTCAAGAGTATATTCATTGATTCATTGATTAGGAAAAGAAAAAGTAAGCTGCAGAACAGTACTCAAAATGACCACGTTACTCTGAGGATACGACGTCATCAGAGCCGTAACTGCTCTAGGGACCAAGGCGAGCCACTTGCAGGGAAGCTGAAAGAGTGTGCGCAGACAGGAGTAGAACAGAGCCAATGAGAGGAGAGCAGAATGCGAGGGTGTGCCACCAGAATGAGGGGGAAGAGCAGTCTCGGGCTTGGCTTTTCTGCTTCCATCTTCGGTCTCTTGAGAGGCCGACTGGACTCCCTGCAGTTGGGTTCCATGAGATTCCCCTCGGTTTAATACTGGAATCACCCTGGGGATCCATGTAGATATGTCCTGGCCATCTCAGTCCTGATAAAGTGGAAATCAAATGTCCAACTGGGAGGTCTGCCTGCTGGGGGATGTAATCCCCACTGTCCTCAAGAGCCACACTGTGCAGTGCCAGCAGGGGCCAGCCCAGCAGGAGAAGCACCTGTAAACCAAGCCCAGCTTTTTCTCCATCAGTCAGTGGCTCATAAGGAGCTCCCCCGAGTCTGGGTGTGGATCGAGGTAGGGGAGGCACCGGTGTCAGAGCAGCTGCATCATGTACCCATGCAGTGTCCATGTACTTCACAGGCCTGGGCGAGCCCCGTCTCGGCCTGGCGAGAGAGGGTCGCTGTGCATGCTCAGCATTCGGCTTGGGGGGCCTAGTAGTTCCCTGTTCGTGATGGGGAGCTCAGGTTGCATGGTCTCCGCATCTCGTGGCTAGCTTGTTTGGTCTCTATAAGGGCCTGGTGCAGTCGGCCAGGAACTGTTTCCCAGCGGGAGAGTCATTATCTGCAGGAGAAGGCATGGTTGTTTTGGGGTTAATCTTCCCTCAAAACCCTCAATGTCTGCTCTGTAAATTTCCTTTTGGTGGAGGCTTCCTACAGCACCCCTAATATCAACCTTGCTGGGTCCTAAGGCCACACAGAAGAGCAGCCTGGACTTGCCACATGCCTGATCGTGCCCTGGGCCTCTCTGAAAACAGCTTTTAGTGTCACTCAGTACCGGTGTCAGAGTAGCACGTACACATGTGGTGCATGTTGCCTCCAAAACACCTGCCTGGTGGTTGCAGTGGCAGGTGGAGTGTGGAGTGACAACTTGAAGCTCCCATTGGAGGGGTGTCTCCAGTGTTTCAGGCCGTTCTGGGGTGTGAGACCCCCGGTTCTGCGGGGTCTGTCCCTCATGCTCTGCCCGGCACATATCTCACAGAGGCACCTAGAGCTCTGCTACTTCCTGCCTGTCTAGTCCAGCCCACACCGCTATCAGCGCATGGGCCAGTGTGGCAGTGTGCAGTGTGAAGATGGCCAGCTTCTCTGCAGACCATAATAAGGTAGAGAGCGGGGGTGCCGCAGCCTTGAGACACACGGGTGAAAGTATCCTGTTGCCAGGTAAAGCAGACTCCGTCTAGGGGTCCTTGTAGATTGGTATAGAGAAAAGGAGTATGTGTCCAGGCAGGGGCTGTGGGTCCCCCAAGATACTACATTGGGAACAGCTGCTGCAGTGACAAGTTCACTTTTCCTATTGAAGGGGCCCCTCACCTGTACATTCCTCAGGGGCTCCAGGAGGGAGTGTCCTCTGGGTATGGAATGTGCAGGTGGCACATGACAAATCCGTGCCAATGCCCCTGTCTCCCGAAGCCTGTGGATTCCTCCTGTATAGTTCACTGTGCCACAGAAGCCTGGCATCTCAGCCTCATTAAACACGGACTCAGCAGTGCCCTGCACTTCAGGCAGTCAACCAAGTGAGCGGTTAGAGCCACTGCCGGCTGCGTGCACAAAATGTTAATGAACAATTTCTCATAAGACCACTCATAGCAATCAGTCCCACCAAACTAGTGTTAAATTTCTCGTCTTTGTCCTAACGTTACTAGCACCTATTCCCATACATACTTCTTCGGTTTCTGCAGCTGTGAAATGGCAAGATCTCACAGTTTGTTTTGCATATAAGTGGTTTCCTCCCCTGCAGCATGCGGAAACCTGTCCCCAGTTACAGGTCAAGGGGTGGCAAGGGTGGGAGGGTGAGAGGCCCACGCTAGGCGTCTGCCCTAGGAAAGCCTGTCACTGGGCTTTCGAGTAAAGAAAGGTGATTCTCAGACACTGGGGAGCCAGCTGTTCCCACTGCCATGGGAGGCTCGGAGGAACTCCCGAATCTGGAATCTCAGCTTCATCTGAGTCCAGTCAGATGTCCCTCTGTCCGGTGCCAGGGTCCCACTCCTTCCAGATCCATGCCCAGCTTTCCCATCAAACCTGGTGATGCCACCAATTCCGCCTGTGCATCCACACCCCGCAGAGTTATGCTTTGTGTTTGATTTTGGAAACAGCCCTGTAGCTACAAGAAATAGACTCTCTGGGGACTGCCATAGAGGCTTGTTGGGTTCTCTGTCTGTGGGTGCAGGTCCCAGACCTGGGCTTGAGGTTTTCTCAGAGGCCCCAGCGCACTCACAGAATGCTGTCATACTGAGTCCTTTGGTCCTGGCTTCTGCCTCAGTGGCCAGTGCAGTGGCCATGTGGGCCCTGGCACACAAATGTCATCACAGGCACAGATGATGGCTTTTTTAGTCACAATGCCATGGCCTGCCCTGGATTACAGGAATCTGATTTCCCACTGACAAAGAGCTCAACACTGTGTTAAACCCATGGATGGGAAACCAATTCCAAGTCCTCTGTTCCTGGGAACCAGTCTTGGCAGTTTCTTTTTTCTTCTTCTTCTTCTTTTTTTTAAAGACAGGGTCTCATTCTGTCACCCAGGCTGAAGTGCAGTGGTACGATCTTGGCTCACTGCAACCTCTGCCTCCCAGGTTCAAGCAATTCTTGTGCCTCACCCACCTGAGTAGCTGGGATTACAGGCACCCACTACCACACCTGGCTAATTTTTTGTATTTTTAGTAGAGATGGGGTTTCACTTTGTTGGCCAGGCTGGCCTGAAACTCCTGGCCTCTTGACCTGCCCGCCTCAGCCTCCCAAAGTGCTGGGACTACAGGTGTGAGCCACCGTGCCCGGCCGTGGTGCCAGTTTCTTGATCAGTCAAGGTTCAGTCAGGAGACAGAAGCCACACCAGTTATTTGAACAGAAAAAGAACATAAGCAAATGTTAACTGGATCTAAATTAACTGGTAACTGAAAGGACAAATAAAGACCTCTAAGGCAGTGTTCTCAAAGTCTGATTCCCAGACTAGCAGCTTCAGCATCAGCTGGAACTTTTAAAAACGCAGCTCATCAGACCCAATCTGAGACCCGAATCCAAAACGGGGGGATGAGGCTCAGTGACCCATGTTTCACCATGATGCTGTGTGAGTCTGGTGTACTCCACAGTGTCGTGGAGGAGAGGGGGTCCTGGCGCGTGCCTTCTAGCTGGTGCTTATGTCTCTGGGTGGGAGTTGGGGCTTGAGGAAGCTCATTTTGCACAAAATGGGAAAACAACAAACTGTATTCAGCCGCTGCTACAGGAGGTGCCTCGGTGCCCAGGTAAGGCAGTGCCTGGGTGGAGCTCACGGGAGCTGCAGGCAGACAGGAGCCCTGCTAGCCGCTGACGGGAGGAGCAAGCCCTTCTTCCTGCTCTGGCTTTGAGTCCCTCCCTAGACTCCTGTATTGTCAGAACCTGAAATAGAGCCAGTTGGCAACACCGAAACAGGGTCTGCAAAGTCCCAGCATCACCAAGCCAAGTTAGAGGGATGGGCATGGAGCAGAGAGACAGTAACTTCATGACTGGCACAGTAGAGAGGGGGGACATCCCCTTCCCTTCCAGATAAGCCCAGGAATTCAGAGAAAGATAGGTATCAGTTAGTGTATTAGCCTGTTTTCATGCTGCCAATAAAGACATACCTGAGACTGGGTAATTTATAAAGGAAAAGAGATTTAATGGACTCACAGTTCCACGTGACTGGGGAGGCCTCACAATCATGGTGGAAGGCAAGGAGAAGCAAGTCATGTCTTATATGGATGGCGGCAAGCAGAGAGAGCTTGTGCAGGGGAACTCCTCTTTATAAAACCATCAGATCGCTGGGTGCGGTGTCTCACGCCTGTAATCCCAGCACTTTGGGAGGCCGAGGCAGGTGGATCACTTGAGGCCTGGATTTTGAGACCAGCCTGGCCAACATGGCGAAACCGTCCTCCTAAAATTACGAAAATTAGCTGGGCTTGGTGTTGGGTACCTGTGGTCCCAGCTATTTGGGAGGCTGAAGCAGGAGAATCGCTTGAACACAGAAGGCAGAGGTTACAGTGAGCCAAGATTGCACCACTTGCACACCAGCCTGGGCGACAGAGCAAGAATCTGTCTTAAAAAAAAAAAAAATCAGATCTTGTGAGACTTATTCACTATCATGAGAACAGCATGGGAAAGACTCCCCCCCATGATTCAGTTACCTCCCACTGGGTCCCTCCCATGACACGTGGGAATTATGGGAGCTTCAATTCAAGATGAGATTTGGGTGGGGACACAGCCAAACCACATCAGTTAGTGATTCCAAAAGATGACACCTCGAGAATTATGAGAGGCCCAAAAATAAATAAAACTTCATAATGGAATCCTCACACCCTAGGATTGGTGGGGGGAAGCATTAGGAATGATCCAGGCTTTTCCTCACAGTGGCAATGTAACTTCTTTTAGCAATACTCTACAAATGATAGCTTTTTTTTTTAACAAGTGTTTTATAAGAGTTTTAGATGTACAGAAACATGGCAAAGCTAGTGCAGAGAATTTACATATACCCCACACCCAGTTGAATTTTGACATCTTGCGTTAGTGTGGTCTATATTTGTCCCAGTTAATGAACCAATATTGATACATGGTTATTTGCTAAAGTCCATGCTTTCTTCAGATTTCCTTAGTTTTTGCATAATGCCGTTTTCTGTTGGAGGATCCCATCTAGGTTACCCCATCACGTCTCGTCATCATGCCTCCTTAGGTGGGACAGCTTCTCAGACAGGTACTCCCTGTGTTTGACACCTTGACGGTTTTGAGGAGTGTTGGTCAGGTATTTTCCAGAATGCCCTCTACTGAGATTTGCATGATGATTTATCATGATTAGACTGGGCATGTGGCTTTGGAGGAGAAAGACCAGAGAGAGGTAAAGTGCCCTTTTCATCATACCGTCTCCAGGGTGCTTACTGCCTGTGTGACTTACCACTCTCCATTACCTGGCTGAGGTGTGCCAGGTTTTTCCACCATGAGATGATTCTTCTTCCTCCTTTCCATGCCATAGTCCCAAGAAGGAAGTCACCACGTACAGCCCACACTTAGCCATGGGGAGTGACGCTTCACCTCCGTGAGGGCTGAGCAGCTACGTGAGTTAGTTGGGATTTTTCTGCAAGGGAGATTTGTCCCTTCTCCATCTGTTTGTTTATTCAGTCATCTATTTCAGTATGGATTTATGGATATTTATTTTTGGGTTATAATCCAGAACAACTTCATTTTGTTCTTTACATTATTCCAGGCAATGTGATTTTGAATAATGCCAACAAAAAAACAAGCAAGTATCCAAATAAGTGGCTGTTTGCCAAGCACTATTTTTTCTTTTGAGGCAGAGTCTCGCTCTGTCGCCCAGGCTGGAGTTCAGTGGCGCAATCTCGGCTCACTTGAAGCGATTCTCCCACCTCAGCCTCCCGAGAAGCTAGGATTACAGGCGGGCAACAACACGCCTAGCTAACTTTTGTATTTTTAGTAAAGGCTTGGTTTCACCGTGTTGGCCAGTCTGGTCTCGAACTCCTGACCTCAAGTGATCCACCCACCTTGAAGAATGAGTAGAGAATACAGAATGCAGAGCACATGATCAAAAGTAAAGTAAAAGGAAAGCTTGAATAGGAGGGAGCTGCCCAGGACAATCCTAGTTTAGTGTTAAAATTAAGAGGCACAAAGGGAAGGGGCGCTTGATTATTTTAAAAGCAGGAAGGAAAGAGAAGCCCCGGTCCTATTGTTCCAGGCTGATGCTGCTGATGTCAATAAAGAGAAAACAGAACTGCTCAGCTCAAACTGTACTTTGTTCATTATCAAGGAAAATGATCTTCAAAGTGGAAGAGGTAAAGTAATAGTGATTCGAGGAAACTAAAGCCCACAATAGTTGCGGAGAGCACCTGTCAGCATGAACCACATCTCATTTCTGATCCAGATGAATCACATTCTAGCATTAAAGGGAACTTACAAAGGAGATTCCTAACCTGTTCGTGATATTGGAGGAGTTGCGGAGAAGAGGTCTGATTTCGGAGGCCAGAGATAAAAGGAAAGAGCAGATAGATTTCTCAAAAAGCAGAGGCTGGGGAATGTAGTATCAATCCCAGCTGAGATTTATGAATGAATGGAATCGGTCATGAATTGACCAAAAAAAAAATTTACAGGAGATTCACCTGCCTTTCTTTTGTGGCTGTTGCGTAGACGGCCGTGCCATGACAGGCACGTCTGGATTCCAGCTAGAGTAGGCTGGCAGAGCCTGGCACGAGGTCCCAGAGGATGAGATGCAGAGCTGCAGCTTGGCAGCCAAGCAGATCAATTAATATTTAAATCTCAGTCAACACCTGGAGCAAGGTTTCTAATTGTGTTGGATGCCTCTCGTGGGCCATTTCCAAATCCATTCACATCAACTCATAGTCCAGCACTCCTCACTCTGTGCAGGGGCAGTGGGACGGCCCTCAGCCCAGGACCATCCCATGTACCCCAGCTTCCTCCGCCAGGGGAGGATAGAAGCTAGCAGCTACATGCAGTCCTAGGAAGATCCCACTGGCATCAGCATCAGTGGGCTCTGCGGCGGCAGCTCAGGAACGCGTCCTGCGCTGACTCACCCGCCCACCCGTCTCCTTCCTCCCTTCCTGTACTTCTGCTCCCTGGCATCACATTCCCAAATACACTCTGCCTTCTGGGGAGCCCCAGCTGAGAAACTGGGGGTACGCCAGAGCATTCTTGTGCCCCACGCTCTTCAGCTTTGGAACAATGACTTGAATATTGATTTCATTGATGGCATCATCTAATTTACAGATGACTTGAAACCAGGTGGGATAGCTGATAATAATCGAAACGCAGAAAGATTCCTCAGTAGGCAAAATTTATACATAGGATCACTTGATATGGCATCAAGGACAGAAGAGATGAGAGCATGTGAATATTCTAAAAAGATGAAAACGGGCTGAGAACAGGGAGGGAGAATGGCAAGCCCTGCCACACATGGGCTCGTGCTCGGGAATGTGCTGGAGCAGAGCAGACTAGTGGCTGAGAGTTTTTCAAAGCACATATTAACAATTTCTGTCAAGTGGTACCAAAAAAACTGACAATAAAGACATAGTCTCTTGCTCCTGTGCCTTACTCTTGTCATATTCCACAGAAACAACCTGTTGAGCCGTTGAACCAAACACACTGAGTCCATAAAACCTCCCAAGAAAAGATGCGTGGGAATGTATTACTTGAAATTTTATATATCACTTACGTTCAACCTGTAGACTGCTATGTCTAGAATTCTATAACAGAAATCATTTTTATTAAGAATTGTGAAGGTACTAATATCATTCCATTTCTTCTAGCTACCAGTGCTGATCGAGAGAAATTTGATGCTTTTTTAAAATCCCCAGCCTTTATATATGATTTTATTTTTCCCCTCTGAAGCTTTTGTGGCTCTCGCTTTCTACCTGGTACCCTAAAATTCCATCATCATGTGTCTTGTGGTCAGTTCATGGTGCCGGGCAGGTGACGTCCCGCTAGAACCTGACACTCCTAGTATCCAGTTCTCTGGTCCTTGCGTTGTTTCTTTTTTAGAATTTTTATTTATTTATTTATTTTAGAGATAGGGTTTCACTGTGTTACCCAGGCTGGAGTATGGTAGTGCAGTCACAGCCCACTGCAGCCCCCAGTTCCTGGGCTCAAGCGATCCTCCTGCCACAGCCTTCCAAGTAGCTGAGACTACAGGCGTGCACCACCACATTCAGTTAATTATTTTATTTTTTGTAGAGGCAGGGTTTTGCTATGTTGCCCAGCTGGGTCTTGAACCCCGAGGCTCAAGCGATCCTCAGCGCTGCGGCCTCCCGAAGCCACTGTGCCTAGCCTTCCTTGCATTCTTTCCTCAATCATTTTCTTCCCAGTGCTTGCTTTTCTCCGGAACTTCAGTGAGCAGCTCTGAGACCCCCGAGTTGATCTTTAATATTCTTTTCCCATTGTTTTTTCAATTTTTCTTTTCATTCCACTTTTTGGAAGATTTTTTTTTTCCTAACCCTTCTAGTGAGATCTGTGTAAAACTGGGACTTGTGTGACTTCAGCGTTCAAGGCCCTGTCAGATGGCTGCCCATTCATTCATAATTAAGAGTGACTGCTAACAGTTGGCATGGACATACCAAGTTCACAGGTGGGCTTCTTGCTTGGTGGGCTTCACTGAAGAGCAGTAAGCCAGCCATCTTTTTCATTGGAGGCCCCATGTTCCTATGTCTGTTTTATTTCTGGAGCAGTGCATTTCCTCCAGAAAACAGTCCTTCCATGGCAATGGTGGGCAACTGTTCTTCTGAAGTCGAAGGAGTACTGGGGCTTGGAGGGGCATGGAAGATGAGTTCAGGGAGGAGGGAGTCATGCAGCTGGCAAGGGAGGCCTGGGCCTGGACGGAGAAGAGTCTCGACGACCGTATTTCAGAAGCTGGACCCTTCTTGACGCAGTAGATATCAGCGTTAATTTTAAAAGCTTCACAGTCAACTTAATTACTGAAAATCAGAGTGAAGCTGTGTAGAAAGCAGTGAGGCATCAGAGGAACCAGCTTCCCATTCTGGGGAACACAGATGTTCTCCTTGGTATAGACTGCCAGAGTCTCTTAGAGCAGCTCGGGCCTGCTCACTATTCTAAAAACTTACCTATGAACATTTTATTTCCCATCTTTTCTTATCTAATTATCACATTTGCTTTGAAATGTGTTGAAAATCCTATTAAAATGTAAACTTTAAAATTAATCATAGTTTGAGCAAATTGCGTATCAGTTAAAAGGAAAGAAATTTTCAAAGGTACTCAAGATCCCTGAGCGGTTTCTTCCTGCAAATTAGAACTAGATTGTGTTAGTCCTCTTTGTATCCTGTTTATTGGTTAATTGGAACACCCTGTGCCGTCTATAATTATGGAGAATTTTCCAAGTATGATTTTAAATTGCTTTATAAACAGCTCCATGCACGTGTTCTTAAGAAAGCCAAGTTTTAGAAGGCCTCGTTATTGCAAAGAAGGTCGGCAAAACCACAGAAGCGTCAGGCCCCTCCCGAGCTCACCCAGGACACTGCTCTTTAATGCATTGTACGAGTATCATGTCCGTTTGGAATATTATATGAGATCTCTGAAGGATGGAATTGAGACTTCCTCAGTGACCTGCGGACAGGTCAACAGTGTATGTGGATGAAATTAAAAGAATAAATCTTTCATCCCAGCACTTTGGGAGGCTGAAGCAGGAGGATCACTTGAGGCCTAGAGTTTGAGACCAGCCCGGGCAACATGGCAAAACCCCATCTCTACAAAAAGATTTAAAAATTAGCTGAGCATGGTGGCATATGCCTGTGATCCCAGCTACTCAGGAGGCTGAGGCATAAGGATCACTTGAGCCTACGAGGTTGAGGCTGCAGTGAGCCGTGATCATACCACTATACTTGAGCCTGGGCAACAGAGTAAGACCCTGTCTCCAAAGTGAAAAAAAGAAGAAATTTCTGTTGGCTTCTGGTTTGGTCAGTATAGACTGGAAATTTTAAGCATTTGTTCTTCTTGGCTGTTAGTGCTGAGCACCATACTGAACATCTTCAAATACTAGCCTATTCAATCCACACCCTACACCTGTGAGGAAATATCCATTAGCCCCATTTTATAACAGCATGTTGAGGCTCACAGAGGGTTAAGTGACTGAGCAGCCACCACACAGCTGGCACGGGCCAAGGAGCCCGCGAGAAAGCCTTGGTGCTTGAGGCCATCAGAAAAACGAAGTGAGCTGCTGTGCTTATGATTTCAGTTTGAGAAATGAAGCAGTGTCCCTGTTCTGTAGAGATACACATTTTATGTGGAAAACGAGAAGTTGAAGTCCAGTAGGTGTAGCACCTTAGCTCGTTGACAAGAAGTGGGATGGCCTCTTAATTCACTCCACGTGCTTCCGTGAGCCTTGGTTGTTTTATCTTCTGTTGCAGAAGAGATACCACTTTGCACGTTAAATTCTTAACGTTCTCTTTGCCATTGAACTGCTGCTTCACTGGGGCTTTTCTCTCTATAAACCTTGCCATTGGGCTGGGGGAGGTGGCTTACCCCTGGAATCCCAGCACTTTGGGAGGCAGAGGCAGGAGGATCACTTGAGTTCAGGAGTTCAAACCAGCATGGGCAACATAACCGGACCCTGTCTCTACAAAAAATAACAAAATAAAAAGCTAGCTGTGGTGGTGTGCACCTGTGGTCCCAGCTACTCAGGAGGCTGAGGTGGGAGAATCACTTGAACCCAGGAGGTTGAGACTGCAGTGAGCCATGTTCCTGCCACTGCACTCCAGCCTGGGCAACAGAGCGAGACCCTGTCATTCATACGTACATACATACATCGATCCCTCTGTTGGACCGATACTGTCTGAAATTAATTAATTCCTCCCTCCATCCCTCCCTGCCATTGACCACGCAGCATCAGTGTCTTTCATCTCAGAATTAACTTGATTCAGCACGCGTGATCAGTTTCTAACGTCTGTATTATTACCCCGTATACTTTCCCATACATGTATTTGCCACCTTAAGAATTGGTGTTAGGCAGTTATTTCCTGTTTGTGTTGTTCACAGTGGCCTCACCGTAAACAGTATCTGCAGCATTTTGGGGGCTGAACGCTTTTGTAGCAGATTAGTCTGAGAATTTATTATGGGGAAGCAGGATGTTTTTTTCTGAGTCTGAAGTAATAATCATCATATTTGAGTGTTAAACTTAAACCCCTGCTTTTGTTGGTATCATTCTTTTAAGCCTGAGGTGTGATGAGGCTCACTGTAGTGTAAAAATGTCCATTAAATCTGTTGGATCTATATGTGATCATTTGTACAAGGTGTAAACATTAAATATCAAAATATCAAAATATTCACAAACTAAGCTAATAGCAATATTTATTCTTGGGTTTTTTTAAATTATTACACTATTTGACCAGAGATTTTTGTGTGTAGATGTCCACTGTGCTCAGTCATTTATGTCTTGAAGCTGGATACAATAGTCTCTGCCAGAAGCTTCTAGAAATGTGTCCACTGAAGGAAGCCCTCTTGTTTGGCTCTCACGTGGTCTCATCTATGGTTTAGATCCATTGGACTCATTGGCCCTTATTAGAGAAAGGCAGTCCTTGATAGGATCCTAGGACTTAGGTCATAGACAAGGTTCGTTTACTTTCTGTATTGACAATTGCAATTAAACCATGCAATAAATGCCTAGAATAGCATTTAATTACCGTTTAGTCCATTTTCATTTCATGCAGTTACTGCTATAGTTAGGTTTGTCTACCATTTTGCTATGCGTTTTTCACTTTTTCTATTGATTTGTTCTTTTATTCCTTCTTCACTCGATTTAACAAACTATGTTTAACCCATTTTTCTCCTCTGCTAGCTTTTTAGTTATACATTCTTTTTTCATTTTTATGGGTACATAGTATGTGTATATACTTATAGGGTGCATGAAATATTTTGATACAGGCATACATTGTATAATCACATCAGGATAAATGGGGTGTCCATAACCTCAAGCATTTATGATTTCTTTACATTACATACATCCCAATTATTGGTTATTTTTAAATGTACAATAAATTATTGTTGACTGTAGTCACCCTGCTGTGCCATCAAATACTAGACCGTATTCATTCTATCTAACTACATTTTTTTATCCATGAACTGCCCCTACTTCCTCCCCGCACCCACCCCCACTACCCTCCCTTCCCAGCCTCTGGTAACCATCATTCTACTCTCTATTTCCATGAGTTCAGTTGTTTTCATTTTTAGCTCCCACAAATGGATGAGAACATGTGAACTTAGTTATACATTCTTTTGTTGATCTTTCAGAGGCTGTCTTACAGATTACATAGCATCTTTGACTTACTACTTTCCATCTTTTAATAATAATTTTACCAAGTCCCAAACAATGCAAAAAATGTATACAAAAGTTAAACCGTCTCCTACCCTATGTGCTATTGTTATATATTTTGCTTCTATATAAGTTATGAATCCCACAGGATATCATTACTCTGGCTTTATGCAGTATTGATTTATGTTCACCTACATCTCTGCCCTCTCCTGTGCTCTTTGTTCCCTCCTACGGTTCTGTGCAGGTCTAGAATCTTTCCTTCAGTGCAGAGGACTCCTTAAGTATTTTTTATTTTTTTTGAGATGGAGTCTCACTCTGTCACCCAGGCTGGAGTACAGTGGCATGGTCTCAGCTCATTGCAACCTCCACCTCCTGGGTTCAAGTGATTCTCCTGCCTCAGCCTCCCAAGTAGCTGGGATCACAGGTGCGCACCACCACACCCGACTAATTTTTGTATTTTTGGTAGAGATGGGGTTTTTTCATCACGTTGGCCAGGCTGGTCTTGAACTCCTGACCTCAAGTGATCCCCCCACCTTGGCCTCCCAAAGTGCTGGGATTACAGGCATGAGCCAGTGCACCTGGCCTCCCTTAAGTATTTCTTAATGCTGGTTGGTTGGTGACAATTTTCTCTGCTTTTTTAATCCAAAAAACCTTACTTTGCCAATCCTTTTTGAAGGATATCTTCACTGGATATATGCTCTAACCTAGATTGGCAGGTTTTTTATTTTAGCATCTTAAAGTTTTCTTTCTCTTGTCTTCTGACTTTCATAGTTTCTGCTGGAAAGTCAGCCGTCAGCCTGCTTGTTACCCTTTTGAAAGCCAATGTGTCTTTTCCCCCTCTAGCTGATTTTCCCTTTACCTTTGGTTTTTAGCATCTTGTCTATGACGTGCTTAGGTGTGGTTTTCTTTGTGTTTATCTTACCTGGGATTTGTTTGATTCTTCTTGATAAATTTCAGCTTCTTGTTGAAATTGACCTATGTGCAGATGATGTGGGAAATGCCCTCAGAAAAATTCCAGAATGAATGTGATGCTCAATGCATAGCCTTCTTTTCT